>NC_000006.12:13999393-14150909 GCF_000001405.40 Homo sapiens | reverse complement strand
ACAGAGTCAACATTGTGACTGACACTTTTGTTTGCATGAACCCTCGCTTGAGTAGATAACCTCTGCTCAAAGAACACCTTGAGATGCAGATAGTTTTGGTCACAGTTTGGAAAGAGCAGGGGGTTGTGCCCCCAATGGTTTGGCTTACCAAGCAAACTTGCCACATAAATCTGAGTAACCCACACATCATCAGTGATATCAACATGCTCCCAAACCTAGCTGTGGAGGTCCAAAGATTGGCACATTTCCTTCCACATGGGATGAAATTGAGCCACGTCAGAAATTAGGTTAACTGCATGCATGAGAGCTGTGCAACAAATCAGATAAAATCCTCCAGGGTCCCAGGCTTGTGAAGGAGGGCCTCAGATGGAAGAAGAAACCACAGCTGTGTCCATGTTCAATGTCCTGGTGTTGATTGTGTAGGGGTAGTAAGAGTCAGAAGGGAGGCCAAGGTCATGGGCAACGAGGCAGTCAGGTGGAGCTGGCACAGCCATGGGAGGAGCATGAACCGAATAGACAAAGTGTACCATCCAACAGAGCATAATGCTCATGCTGGGCAAATGAGATACCACCAGGGAGGACCAGCCCTTCCCCTGACAGCAAAACGATAGGGTAGGAACACCTGGTCCCAAGCAGAGATTCGGTCAGGCCTGGGTTCTATGGGGCCCATGGGCCAGGAGGCTGGCCTCATTGGGCAGAGCATGCAAACCCTGCATAGTCCTGTTTCCTTTCCTCCAACCTACCAGCCAGGCCAAGTGTACATTTTCAGGCTAATGATCTATGAGGCTGCCAAACTAAACTTCATTTTCTGTTTGAAAGATTTTTCCAGTTTGGGGCCAGGCGCAAGGCTTGGCAATTTTACCCAGAGTTCTCCTTACACATGCAGTAATAACAATTAACCAAAAGCAACTGTGTGCCTTAGGGTATCCAAGCCCCTAGAATGTGCAAATGAGTCCCAAGGCAAGCGGGGAGTCAGGCGGGGGCACATCTGCTCATTTTCCTTTCCAAAATCATTGCAGTGCTAAGATCCCTTCCCCGCTTGCCAGGAAAGCGCTGCCCGGTGACTTGTTGCTGCCAGCAGTGGCTGCACATGGCCCCCTAAGTAGCAATTTAGGGCGATGTCCCATTTGCCAAAGAACAGTTACATACATTGACTAGTAGTACAGTTCAGACTTCTGTGGTTTGTGTGTACTTAAATAAAAATTACAGTCCACTCTTGGAAAGCATAATGAAAACTTGGTCTTTTTTAAGGATTCTAAGCTATTTAATTGGTCCAAATAACATCTGTCCCTGAACCTTACACCATTACCTACCAAGTCACGGAGGAGATGCAGGTAATGTGGTTACTGCCTCCACAAGAGGGTGACATCACTCACGCCTTGTTAAGTGGGTCCTTCTGTTCTCTAGTGTCAATCCCTGGTTGCTTCCTTTCACAAAGCTTCTTATCCAACACACTATCATTGTCATTAGTCAACTAATTAAAATGCCTATTAACATGGAGAATCATAAAAAAGATTAATACGTACAACCAACATTTGACTTTAACCTAAAAATAAATGTACCTTAATTTGCCAGTTTTTCCTTGTGCCAACAATCCCCGATCCCTCTCTGACCAAAGTCAACTAAAAAAGAAAGAGAAACTTAACGCAACACTTCCCCAAACCTAAGTTCCTTGACTAATCATAAAATAATCCTGGGCTTAAAAGTCACCTGAGAGATTAGCTCATTCCACTCCTTTAACAGAACTGAAAATAATGTAAAATTTTTTATCATTTTACAGAAGAGAAAAATGAAGTCAGAACAAGGATGTTAGCAAAACTGAGAGAGTTGTGAGTGCTTGCAGCAAAGGGGTTACCGATGCTAAATAAGCTCATCTGCTCTCTAGAACCCCAGACAGATTCACGAATTACAGGCCCCGCTAGAGTGTCATTGAAGGTGGGAGACAGGGCATTGAATCAATCAGGAAGATTGATTAGATGTCACAAAAGAGGCAGTAAGACTTCCCAACTTGTCCAGTGGGGTAACTGGTCCCCATGCCCACTGCCACCAGGATATGCAGGGGTCTTATTTGGGGGATGACATGGACAAGCTCCAGGCTCGAGGCTACCAGGCAGGTCAGAGGGCAGGGGCTGGTGCCCCGCTGACATCAGGGCAAGGAGTAAAAAGCCCAGATGCTGGACCCTAAGACCCCACCACCATGCTGCCTGGGCAGAGCTCAGGCAGTCACCCCCAGGCAGGAGACTGGAGCGAGACTGGAGGTATGATGTGTGCAAAGCCGCAGAGGCTGAGACTGAACTGCAAACAACCAGGCAGGGAGAGCATGAGCCCTGAGCAGGGAGGTGGGCAGAATTCCAGTGAGGGTGGGAGACCAGAAGGCTCTAAAAAAGTGAAATGGCATGGCCAAACCAGCACTGGAACAGGATCGCTCTGGCAGCAGAGGGGCTCTAAATAATGAAGGAGGTAACACTGGGAATGACTGGTTGGGTCCAGGTGAGGACGACAGCTCCTGAAGAAAGGCATATGGGGGAGGGAGAATAGGTTTGAGAGGAAAAGTTAAAACTAACAGAGTCAGGCCGTCTCTCACTGACCTCTTGGTTCAAAAGGTAGGACCCCAAGCTCCCAATGTTGCCCCTTTAACCTTGCCAGTTAATAGACCCAGAAAGACCTGGGTAAGTGAATGTAAAGAAATATTGCAAGTTGAGCCATGCGGTTGCTGTGAGATTTTAAACCAGTTGCCCACTTCTTGCCAGGAAATGTAATCTCATTTTGGGTTAGATGGATCTGCCAGGAAATACTCCAGTGTGCAGTGAAGCTGTGGAGTAGAGGTCAATTTTACAATTACGAAATAGCTGGCTTTTCCAGAAACACCAGCAGTCACCCGTCTACATCCTCAAACGGCAGCTATGAATATCACACCTGTGCAGCCTGTCACTGGGGGACACACTGGGGATGATGATTCACGTACGGTGGGAATGTGGGGGTACGCTGGGTGCACAGCCAAGTGTGTGCTATGAGCTGGACAAGGTGGGAGACGAGGTTGAGGCTCCTCTACAAACCTCGTCAGCTAGGGCTGGGCATCAAAATTAAACTTGTGCTTCTACCACAGCCCTCATTGTATCTTCTCATGGCCTGGGCAGTTCTTGGACCATCAAGGTCTACAAAATTGGCACTCCCCCCAAGAGAACTAAGCCTCCTTTACTTCTTCTACTTGGCACTGACGATGACTTGAGCTGTGACAGAGCAAAGGCCAAAATATGAATGCCATCTGGGCTTTAACAGTTACTAACTAGAGGAATAGTTCAACAACGCCTTTCGACTAGTGGGAAATAACGGAGCTAGTGTCTTTGGCCAGTCTCAAATCAGTCCTACCCCTGACTCAGGCAAGGTTTAAAGGGGGCTGGGACTAGGAAGAGGCAATTCACCTGGGATGCAAACCATGAGGGGATCCCAGAAAACTCAGCGATCAAGATATAAAATATTTCCAATATTTCTAAATGTTTAGAATATTTCCAATATTGCAAAAATTAAAATGAACATAGAAAAATCCATGATGAATAAAATATCAAAATGTTATACAAAAAGGTGCCCTGCCAAGCCGTACTGGAGCCTGAAGCAAAAGAAAAAAATTAGTAATGCTGGTTGTTTACTTATTTAAAATTTGCAGATTTTGCTCATCATTCCATTCACTTGGATTTTTAAAAAAATACAGCATTAAAACATTTTAATCTTGAGTACTGACTCTTTGGACACCTTCTTAAATCTCGTGCCAGAGACAAACACCCCACTCTTGGACCAGCTTCATGGGAAGGAATTTGAGTAGTTTTACATGTGTTCACTTACAGTTTTGGACACCCTACCTCACCCCAACACATACACACACACACACACACACAAACATGTATGCACATACACACAAAAGGGCTTGGAGAAATTCAAAGCCAGTCTTTGGAGCAGACATCCCGTCCATTCACAGAGGCTATGCAAACAACTTTTCTCATTTCTGTCTTCAAGAGTGTTGCTGTTCACCTTTAAATACACACCTGAGATCAGCATTCATAACAGAGCTGTGCACTTGGGTTGTGCTCACACACAGAAAGGAGGAAAATCAATTTCAATCCCCGAAGGACCGAATTACTGGTGCAGAAGGTCACTAAATGCTAGCACTTGCTCAGTGGGCTTGGAACAAGATCCTTGTTCTCATTGCTTCGCTGCACTTCTAGCAGAGTGTGGGGGAGGGAGGCCTGGAGACTGGCTCTCACCAGGGAAGAGAGCGATGTCGCTTGTACAAGCCACAGGATAAACACTTAAAACAGCAAAGGGGACACGGCAAACACATGCATGAGCAATGTGGAGTCCCAGACTGACGTTCGCACCTAACGCTCTGGAGAAATTGGCCAAGATTGGCCCAACCAACTGAAAATATTATTGCTGTAATTCTTTCAAGGTCGCTTGTCAGACTGGGTTATCTACCTCCCAAGAGCTTGCTGCACAAATCGGCCTTTCCAGAGAGACAGAACTCAGGGCTGTGTCTGGGGGACCCTCTCAGGCCTGGTTGCCATTTTGCTCACGCTCTTCCCTGCCAAGAGCATCTGATTCAGGCCATCTGGGGTCTGTAGTGGACAAGGGACGAGCCTGGATCCTGTGCCAGTGGTCACGCAGCCTGAGTCCTCCCAGATGTGGGCACACTGGTGCCATCTCTGCCACCTCAGAGATGACTGCAAATATTTGGTTGGAAAGTACACCAATGGTAACATGATCAGAGGCACGGAGGGGCAGTAGTCAGGAGAAGGTGGCCAGGCTTCTTCTGCACACATGTTCCCAGAAGCACACGCATTCTTCCCCCAGTGTGAGGAGGAGGGTTTAGCAGCAAAAGCCAGAGCATGGAAATCAAATAGATCTGCAGACGTGAGTCTGGATCCTGGCTCCACACATTAGCCATGGGACCTTGGGACATTATCTGACTTCTCTGAGGTTCAGTTATCTAATCCATAAAGTGGGGAAAAGCTAACGGATGCAAAGTGCCTGGTGCGAAGCTCACGCTCCCCACGTGTGTACTGCACCCTTTCCCCAGCAAAGACCTGCCACATAGGACCTCTTCTCTTCTCTGCACCAATCCCTTTTCTGTGCCCAGAACCTCCAGGCTGCTCTTGCTTCCTGTTCATTATGGTTGAGGCTTGACCTGGCTTTCTCTTTACTCAGCATCTGGCACTGGGGACAACGGGATTTTTATGAGAATAAAGGAGCCAGGTGAGAGCATCCCACTCCCAGCTTGCATGATTTAGGCAAGGAGGCAGGGAGGAGAAGAGGAAACTAAGGCACACCTCTTCCTCTCCTCTCTCCTCTGCTCCTACCCAGTCCTGAGGACCAGAGCAACCATGAGAGCGGGCCTACCGGGCTGCATCCCAGTCGACCTGCTGCTATTCTGAACTAGCTCTTGGGAGGGCCATGAAGGACATGCAGAGACTGAAGCTGAAGGAGGTGGCTGGTCACTTGTTCCCACATTCTTGTGGGGAAGGGAGGTTATAAGAGCCCGAGGGAAAGAAAACACTGCCCTAAGCGATGGGCTCATCAGGAACTCTAGTGCACATGAGCAGAAAATAGGCTGACCTTGTTATTTGAACAAAAAGATTCATGCAGTGGGAAGGGAAATTTGAAATTACAGATGCCCCCTTCCACCCCAAATCTAAGCTATATGGCAACCAACCTCCACAGGCTTCCTAGGGAAGATTACTGGGAGACTGAACCTGGTGGGTCAAGCCTGTTCTGGGATTAAGAGTTACAAAGATGACAGAGAAAGGCTGTACAACCTGTGAAGTCCCACGTGGGCAGGGCATCTTCCTGTAGTGACAACAGTTGTGTCTGGCCCCTGCTGTGGTTTTTGGCTAATGTTGGGGGCAAGATGTTTTTGAATGGGGCACTGGGGTGGTGGAAAATGCCCCAATTCCAGGAACTGAAAGAAACGCAAGAAGTTAGCTTATTATGTAGGGAGGTTTTATTGGCAAGAGAGGCCTTTACGACTCCCAGGGGCCCAGCGGCCGCAGCCTTGGGAGCAGCAAGTCAGCCTGAGCAGGAGGGATGGGGGAAGCAGTTGCTTAACCCATCCACCAGGTGGCAGCACAGACAGCAGCAGTGGCCAGACCAACAATACAACACTGACGGGGGGCCAAGGGCCAAGGAGAGCCATGGAGGCCCACAAGAATGGGGCCTGTGCGCGGGACACCAGCCCTATTTGGTGGGGAAATGCAGCGTCAAGGATAATTTTATTTTTATCAGGGTTGTTACTCATGTCCTTGGTCATGAAGAGCCTGGAGAAATAAAGTTATACTCAAAATTTGTTAGGATTTGTTTTAAAAAATGAAAATATAATGAGTTATTTGGCAAAGATCATTTGTGTCTGGGTAAATTCGGGTTAAAAATATAAGGGGGGTTCAGAGGTCACTTTTTTTTTTGAGACAGGGGTCTCATTCTGCCACCCAGGCTGGAGTGCAGTGGTATGATGCACTCATTATGACTGTTACTTATAGCTCACCGCAGCCCCAACCTCCCAGGCTCAACGGATCCTCCTGCCTCAGCCTCCCAAGTAGCTGGGACAACAGGCACACGCCACCATGTCTGGCTATTTTTTTTTATTATTATTTGTAGAGACAGGATCTCGCCATGTTGCCTGGGCTGGTCTTGAACTCCTGGCCTCAAGTGATCCTCCCACCTCGGCCTCCCAAAGTGCTGGGATTACAGGCGTGAGCCACTGTGCCCAGCCTGGAAATCACTTTCAAAGAAAGTAAGGTTGCTGATTTCACCTCCTTTGGGTTCAGCTGATGCCGATGTTTGGCCTAGTCTAAGAGGAGTGACTTCTTGCTTTCTTTATATTGCTTTGCTCTCAGCCTGTGAAGAGGATCCATCCACAACTCGAGCTGCCTCCCTGTTGCTCCGCATTTCTGGTTCCCCAGAAGATGAACCCTACCTTAGAGAGAAGAGACAGAGAAGGAAGAAGCCCCACTGCCTACTGTTGGCCCACTGTGGACAGGCTGCTGCTGCTGCTGCTGCCAGGAGCTCTCGGGGGTGACCCTAGACAAGGAGAATCTTCCCAGGGAAATCCTGGGAGGGGCTAACTAAAGCCACGTAGAGTAGGCAGCAACTTCTCTCCAAGCCACAGTCCAATGGCAGGCTCAATTATGCAGCCTCCTTCAATGGAGCCATCTCTCCCAGCCTCGCCTTCTGCCCCTCCTCCAGCTTGCCGGGCCTATATCATCAGCTTCCATGCTCCAAAAGAAGAAAACTACTTATTGAGCAGAAGCAAATGCTACTGATAATTTAACACATACTGCACACCACACCTTTACACAAATATCAATGCATTTAGTTCTCACAACAAATCTATGAGAATATCATACCCATTTACCAGATGAGTAAATTGAGTCACCTGGATTCTAATTCACATTGACTGACTCCAAAGACTATATTTTTTTCACACCAGTGTGTCAGCCACCATCTTTCTACCTTATTATGTGTTACCCCCTCTGGGGCCTGTTTGCATTTTTTTCAAAGGAGCCTGAAAAGGGTAAGACTAAAGATAAATACCACATATAATCTCTTACCACGAACGTCTGCAACCTCACCCATGCCAGATGAATGGTATTTCCAGACTTTGGGTCTTAATGTCTAAAGATTTTTTTCCTTTTGCTACACTTGATCTAGCACCACTGGCTTCTGGGTGCATTCTTTGATTTTCTGATTTATTGTGGGGATTAAGAAATGGAATGTGTTAAATGCATTTGCACAAGTGCAATTCAACATGTTAAGACAGGATTGACCTGCCAAAACATCTAAGTGTCTGAGAACCATCAACACCTGCCATGCCAGAGGATCGCTGTGATGTCCCTGTCACCACCATTGCACTCTGACCTCATCTCCAGCTGGAGCACACCACAGTCACAGCCCAGTCCCTCCAGGAAACCTTCCTTCAGTTATCAAGATGGTAGGGTGTGTTTTTAAATGAGTGATCATTTTAACAATCCTGCATTTGAAAGCTTTCCAATATTCAGATTATTATATTAGTTTCTAGGGCTGCCATGACAAAGTACCTGAAACCGGATGGCTTAGAACAACAGGAATGTATTCTCTCTTAGTACTAGAGGCCAGAAGTCTGAAATCAAGGAGTCAGCAAAGGCCATGCTCCCTCTGAATCTGTTCCAGGCCTCTCTCTTAGCTTCTAGTGGTTGCCAGCAATCCTCAACATTTCTTGGCTTGTAGATGTATGATTCCAGTCTCTGCCTCTGTCTTCACAAGGCCTTCTCTTCTCTGTGTGTCTGTCTCCACCTTTCACTTTTGTTATAAGGACACCCATCCTAATCCAGAATGATCTCATCCTAACTTGCCTACATTTGCAAAGACGCTGTTTCCAAATAAGCTCACATTCACAGGTACCAGGGATTAGGACTTCTACGTATCTTTTCTTGAGACACAATTCAATCTACAACAACTACCTTTTCCAGATATCAATAATCAATCATGGCCTATTCTACTAGGCACACTAGATACAGCGATCCTCCAGGCAGCCGGCCTGGCTGTACCTACCAGCAATCAGAGCTGACACCTGCGGTGAAGCCGATTTGCCATCACAATTCTCACTAAAGGAATGAGTCTGAAATGACCGCAATCTAACATGTGGTGATGAGCCTGCTGGGGAGATCATGCCAGCATCCTTCAAGCCCGGGTGTGGGTGGCCAGTTGACTGTATGCATAAAGTGGGTCCTGCTGGGGAGGGAGTCATCACACTGTCTCTTTGGCCTGGCAGGGACTATGTACACCTGACCAGAGCCCTGGATTCACAAGGGAGATATTCCCGGTGCCTTTTCTGAGTTCGCAATCCACATGCATTGTAGTATGGCCTGGTTCCAACTTCACTCCATGCATACATTTCTCCTTCCTATACCCCCTGCAAATTGGAAATAGTGATACACAGCCATCTCACAGGGCTGTTGGGCAATTTAATTAATGTTTATAAAGCACTCTGAGGTCTTCAGATGAAAACTGCTGTGTAAGTACAAAATTATTATTAGTTCTCAGCCTCCTGTCCCTTGACTTCTGACATAGGCTTTTGTTGTTCCTGAATGGGAGCCGTTTATGGGCTGTCCAGCTGGCTCTTTTGGGTACATACACATTTACAGATTTTTTTCCCTTTGAAAAAAGCATTCCAACTCTGTGGGATGTCTCAAAGCTTTTCAATGTCTGAATTTCTCTCTACTTGTCTCTACTAAGTACTGTAATCTACAAGAGTAGATTGTAAACAGGCTACTTTTGCAAAGAGTTGGGGCGGGGGACAGGAAATGGTCAATTTGAAGAAATAGCTCCTCTTATAATGAAGAATAAAACAATATCTCCTTCTCATGCAGAATCTAAATGAACCACTAAGTGAGGTCTGTCTCCCTCGCCCAGAGGGATACTGTACGTGTTTATGCATTGAAAGAAGAAAAGAATAGAAGATTTGCTTCCACTGCTCACATTTTGCCTCCTTCCTTCACCCTAACTTCTCAGGAACCATGGAAACAAATACACCCCACCTAGATGATGTTTTCCTGATAGTCCTTTGTTGCCTCACTGTGCGCTGCCTGGGATCCCACAGGGAGAATGAAATAAAAAAGTGGAAAAGAAGAAAGATATGTCTGCAAGTGAAATGTCTTGTCTCCGAAGGACAGAGTGGGGCTCGTGTGTGATTTATCAAGCTCTGGGGGCAATAAACAATGTTATATTCCTTTTCCTTTTCCCTAAGACGTATTCACACCCGTCCCACATCACTCAGGCACAACCCATCACATTCCCTTGAAGGTATCTTTTGGTTGATCATTATGCTTTGTTAGCAGTGTTTGTTAGTCAGCCAACTGCTGGAAGATTTTATTTTTAAAAATTGCTCAGGAGCAATTATATAACATGTAATCCGTTGGACAAAAGTATAAAGGCACAAAATCAATGAAAGGATCAAATGTTAGTTACAGGGTTATAAACACAGGAAGAAATAAACCAGAAGAGCTCAGATGGTGCACACCGTGTTTTCTAAGTCAACCAATCACCGATTAAATAGAATATCAAATTATATAAGAGAAAAATAGGAATATTCTTCCGGGACAGGAATGCAAATTACATAAGGGAAAAACCAGGACTATTCTTCCGGGAGAGGAATGTTGAGGCTGAAGTGGGAGGAAAGAAGGATAAAACTAGCGTGAAACACGTGAAGTCTATGGCTGCAGCAGCGGTAGTGTTTTATTAGCTACGGGGATGACTGTGAAACAGGGAGAACATTTTCCATGGTCTCCAACGATTGAGCTCTGTCTTTTAGGTAGAGATAAGGATGGGAGAGATAGGTTCTTTTCTTTTGCATTCTGTTAATTTTTTTTTTTTTTTTTTGAGACAGTCTCTCTCTGTCGCCCAGGCTGGAGTGCAGTGGCGCAATCTCGGCTCACTGCAAGCTCCGCCTCCCGGGTTCATGCCATTCTCCTGCCTCAGCCTCCCGAGTAGCTGGGACTACAGGCACCCACCACCATGCCCGGCTAATTTTTATTTTTTTGTATTTTTAGTAGAGACGGGGTTTCACCGTGTTAGCCAGGATGGTCTCGATCTCCTGACCTCGTGATCCGCCCGCCTCGGCCTCCCAAAGTCCTGGGGTTACAGGCGTGAGCCACGGTGCCCGGTTGCATTCTGTTATTTTTTAAAAGGAAAAGATGGCTGAGTTTTTAAAAAATAATAACAAAAACATATAAGCAGCAGCTAGGATCATAAGAAAACCCAAGGCTGGCAATTGAAAAGACACGTGCAGGAGCCGGCTGGAGTCCAGCCCTCCTCTTCTCTTCTGTTGATGCGGTGCTTCTTCAGGCTTCCCTTCAGTCTCCTACGTGGTCCTCCTGCCTCCCATCTCTTCCAGCTCTTTCATGCTTTACTTTGTTTTCCTGGTTATTATCCTAAAATTGGATCTGACAATGTGGCTCCCCAACTCAGAATCCTTTGACACTACCACTGTACAAACTCTACAATAACTTATCCATCTTCCATTACTGCCTCCTCCCTCCTCCACCTGGGCGGAAGCCACCCCATGCCCACCTAAACTCCCATACGACCCTATCTTCAGCCTGCTCTCTCCTTTCTTGCCTTAGAGACTGTGCCCTCACCATTCTCACTGCTCTTCCCATGGCTACCATTCAAAATCAAGCCCAAGCTCACACAGAATCAGCTCTGCAAGGCCTCCTAAGGTGCTCCCAGAAGAATCCGGACATTGCCACAGTTATTTTTCTGTGTTCCCAGTAATCTTCATATTTCATATATTGCTCTCATATTTAGTAAAACAAGCAACCATGTATATGGCTCTGAGCTCACTTCTCCTTCCAGTTGATTGTAAGCTCCTTGAAAGAATGTGTCCCACTAGGTTAAGTATTGCACGGTGTCTGCAACAGTATTGTATCTGGAGTACATACTCGCCCAACATAACTTATGTTTAATTTCACCCATTCAACGCACGCACACACACACACATACACCACAGAATGGCAGGTGGTAGAATCTTAATTTCGTACGTACTTTAAATGTACTTTAAAGGTGAAAATTAAAAACTATGCACATCTAGTCTTGAGAAGACAATAAATAACAATAGTAGACCATGACCAAATAACTGACTGACTGCATTTAACCAACCAATTGGTCCCATCTGCCTCTGCAGACAATCAGTTACAAAATTATGGGGGACAATAGCTGGTGAATTAAGCACATAGCTCGTATCCTAAGATTTTTAGGTCTTCAGCTATTTTTACGTAGGAAAGATGAGGTATTAAACAATGACCCAGTTAATGCTACCAAATAAAGTTGCTAGTGAGGAAAGAGCTGGGAACCAGACTGAGTTATTCCAAGACTCTCGACTCTCACTGTGCTGTTAGGTTGAACACATGGCCTCGCTCTGCTGTCTCTACGTCCAGAAGTCGCTGTTATTATCTCTTCCCTTGCAACCCCAGGAAATAATCGGGCTCTGCTGGATTCCATGAGTGTGGCTCAGTATTTTCTACGAGGAAACCTCCTAAGTATTATTATAAATACGAAAAAACCACAGGCTTTCTTTTGGAAGAATGTGGAGCTGATAGTCACATCTGTATTTGTGCCCTGGGACATCCCAAGGCAAAATTATTATAACTCTAGAACTAATTTCATAGACAAGGGACAGCCTTGAATACAAAGCTTTCCCTGGCAATGGAGATGAAGAATAAATATGGTCCATGATCATCTGCCTTCCTCTGAAACATCTTCGTAGGCCTCAATCGAGGCAGTTGAGACCAGTCCACTCTCCTTGACAAATTCTGCCCTCCATTCTCTTCTACACCCCCTTCTCTCTCTCTCTCTCTCTCTCTCTGCCTCACACACACACATTTTTTTTTTTTTTAAGATGGAGTCTCACTCTGTTGCCCAGGCTGGAGTGCAGTGGTGCGATCTCGGCTCACTGCAACCTCCGCCTCCCGGGTTCAAGTGATTCTCCTGCCTCAGCCTCCCAAGTAGCTGGGACCACAGGCACACGCCGCCACGCCTGGCCAATTTTTGTGTTTTTAGTAGAGACAGGTTTCACTATACTGGCCAGGCTACTCTCAAACTCCTGACCTCATTATCCGCCCGCCTTGGCCTCCCAAAGTGCTGGGATTACAGATGTGAGCCACCGTGCCCCGCCACACACAAACTTTTTCTTATACCAAAGACTAGGTCTGAAACATTGAGTCCGCCTGCTCTCAAATTTCCATCATGTTTCCAGCTTAATTCAGTCCAAACTGACAAAGGGCAACCCTTCTTCCTGGTGTGTCCTGTACTGTAATTCTAATGGCCACGAAGAATTTTAGTACACTGAGTATTAATCCTCTGAAAGCAGCATGACTCCTTCACCAAGCCAATTCATTCCTTTTAACAAAACCACTTTGTCAAAGATTTATGGTTACTGATACTTTCTCTGCTACCTTTTTCTCCTTTCTTGTTCTAATATCAGTCAAAGGCTTACCTTTTGCTACACACTAGGCTTACTGCTTCTATATATTATCTTATTTAATCCTCACAATAAACCTATTAGGCAGATACTATTCTTATTTTAAAGATTGGCCAGCTAAGGCTTAGAGGGGTAAGTCCTCTGCCCAAGGAAATATAACTTCCAAATCTTGAAGCTGGGCTACACACTCAGGTGACTAGGAGCTCTGTGAACTCTCAATTACCATGCCCTGGCACTTTTGGTAAAGCATTTGAGAACAGACTTGATTCCATTGAAAGTGATTCCACAGCTTTTAGAGACATTTTATGTGTATTCATCTTTGTAAAGAGACTTCCACTTATGATGCTTTTTTTTTTTTTGAGACGGAGTCTTGCTCTGTCGCCCAGGCTGCAGTGCAGTGGCACAATCACGGCTCACTGCAAGCTCTGCCTCCAGGGTTCATGCCATTCTCCTGTCTCAGCCTCCTGAGTAGCTGGGACTACAGGCACCCGCCACCACGCCCGGCTAATTTTTTGTATTTTTAGTAGACACGGGGTTTCACCGTGTCAGCCAGGATGGTCTCGATCTCCTGACCTCGTTATCCGCCTGCCTCGGCCTCCCAAAGTGCTGGGATTACAGGCATGAGTCACCGTGCCTGGCCTGATGCTTTTATAACTATTACAACTACTTAGACCACATCGTTCTTAACATTTTGGGGGGAAGGGACCTATTTGAGAATCTTGAGTGAAACCCATGAATCCAGGCACAAAGCCCCTGATGTTACACATCTTTCTGAAGCAGAAACCCTCCCTCCATCCCGCCCACCCATGACCGTGCATGTTAGTATGAGCTGCTCATGTACTGGGTAGCAACGTGGCCCCAGGATGGAAGCAGAAGCATCTCTGGGAAGGAGGATGCTGTTTACAAAGCTCTGTCTGCCAGCATGCCCTCCCTCCGAGAAAGACTCAGCCAATCTTTCAGCTCTCATTTTGGATTCTGATTCTCAAACTGGTTTACAACATCCTAGCACTCATCCCAAAGTCGGGATTTTTTTATTTGTATATGTTTTTTATTTTTAACTTTCATTTTAAGTTCATGGGTATAAGTGCAGGTTTGTTACATAGGTAAACTTACATCATGGGGGTTCATTGTACAGATTATGTAATCACCCAGGTATTAAGCCTAGTAACCATTACTCATTTTTCCTATCCCAAAGTCTTATGAGTTGAATATAAAACAGAAAAACACCCTTTCTTCACATGCATACGTTTAATAACATGAAAGCCAAGACAGAGGTAAAAACACTAAATCAACTTGGTATCCGTTTTACTCCCTAATATTAGGGGGACAGTGAACATATAACTCAAGCAATAAAATGCCTTTGGAAACCAAGAAGGGAAGGGCCCAAGTTTGATAAGGGAAAGCCAACAATGGCTAAAACATCCATGCAACACTTCGTGAAGTCCCTTCTGCCAGCGGCTCCCGTGTGTCCATATCTTGGAGTGTGTTAGGCTACTGCTTCAAGAACAGACCGTGGACCTGGCTTCCTCACTTCCCCAAAAGAATTCCTACAGAAGGCTACAGGAAAGGCTTCTTGGTAACCTTCTTTGTTTCAAACAATGGAAAACATGAGAAATGGATAGCACCCTCTCATCCCCAAAACACCATCATCATAGCAAGGATAATGACTCAATGGAGTTTCGAATCTGTATAGTGCTTTATATGTTTTCAAATAATTTTCACGTATATGATCTTCATTAGCCCATGCAACAGCCTTGTGGTTTACAATGGAGAAAGCAGACACCAGAAGGAACTTGCTCAAGATCATGCACCCAGATAGTGGGACAAGTGGGCGAGCACCCAGACTGCACCGTCAGCCCAGCATTTCCAGCCGGCCATTAAATAGCTCTCTATCTTGTCACCCTCTCTGACTTCTTCTCCCTCTCTATGTCCAGGCTGCCTGTCAGTTCACAATGCTATCTCACTACAGATACAGATTTCAAAAGCAGAAAAACACAAACCTTCTTTGACAAGTACATATAGATATAAAAATAAATGTGGCACTCTTCTTTATTGCTTCTTTATGGATGTCTTTCCCAGATGAAAAGACCCTGCTGGGGAATAGTTCATCGACTTGTTATTTCTTTGTACACAGATTACTCCTTAGTAATAGCAGGACCTTCACACCAGGAAATTATTTGCTAAATATTTCCCACTGTCTCACAGCTTGATCTGTCAATTTCTCCCAGACGTAAAACATCTGGGCTGGTACAGCAAAACACAGAAAATTCAAAGAGATGTCCCCAAGATGCAGAAGAGGACAGCTGTCCTCAGGAGTCTGTCACGGGCCAGCTGGGGGCATTCATATTTCCCAAGACCCTTTTCCAGCTGCATCTCACCATAGCTTTTATATGACTGAAAAAATGTCCAGGAGGTTGACCAGATAGCTGCATACATCGCTGAAAAGGTGGCCATGGAGAAGCAGCAGTGGCCTCATGCTATGTGGTCATGTGATGGTTTTCGAGGCCTGCCCACAGAAAATGGGGTGGGATCCCCTTCCAGATGTTTTCAGTGAGGTGAAGGACTTCACAGGATGCCATCTTCAGCGTAGGCTCATTCTTCTCTCCTCCAGTGTAACAGACAGGCACACCCCTGAGCCTCAGCTTCAGGAAGAAGAACCTGCAGAAATCCTGCTCATACCAGTTCTGTCTTGTGAGGAGTCACTAGCCCTAAATGCTTATTTGGGGAGGTAACTGGGAGAAAAGCTCGTTCCATGCCAGCTTTAGAAAAATCTGGGAAGATACTCTGTAGCCGTGCAAACTTCTAAAAAGAAATGAAAGAAATGTGAAGTGAATAATTGGAAAAATTCAGCAGTTGTCACCTCCTTTTAAACTCTATTCACTAAGAGCTGGCTAGACAACCCATTCTGGAAGCTCTCATACTCACTGCCTCACTCGCTCCACAAGGGATTTGTACCAACCATTTCACTGGCGTCTCTAAACTTGGACCAGGAGATTCACTGATTGTGGCCATTTCGACCCCCTACTGTTAGGTCTCTGTATGGAAAGTCAATGCCCACAGAAGCAGGCATTTTCCAACAAGAAGCTAAAGTCATTCATGTTTAAAACATACTGCCTGGTAACTCTAATTATCTTCTTATACGCAAATAACCCTAACATCCTAACTGTAAGCTCCTTGAGGGCAGGAACAATGTCTTACACCTTTTTATGCCCTGTACAGTGCCTAGCATAATGCCTTGAACATAGTAGGTGCTCACTGGAGTCTCTGATTGACTGGTATCTAAAATAGAAACCAGAGAGATGAGTGCACAGCCAGAGAGGCAAGTAAGTGAATAGAGGGACACAGTGAGTGGCAAGAACCAGTCCTGGGGTAGCTCCTGGGTGAAGTCTGTCCTGGCCCCTAGGTAGCCAGCCCTGCCTGGTGGATGGAGACAAAGGGGGCAGATCACTTCCTAGAGGGGTCAGACACACATGTGGCCCTACTCTCCCACAACCATCATCAACACAGGTGAGCAGCCATGCAGAAAGAATCTCTGAGGGCTTTGAGCCAGAACCTGCAACCAACAGCTCATGGGCATGTCTAGGGTGCCTGAGCACCGGCCAGCCATCCTGCACCCCGGAAGCCTCCCACTGTGCCTCACTGCTCTGGCTTCTTGGGATTAATTCTTAAGGCATGGGCAGAAATACCAAAAATAGAAGGGGAGAACCCCCACGAGAAATAGTTTGAAGGCAGCCAAAGGAGGCTGATCTATCCCCTGGCATCCCTGGGGCAGTGGGGCCCACTCCCTCACCCACAGGAAGAGCGGGGCCTCTGCTCTGGGATGGGGGACCCTCAGCGCTGCAACTTCTAGCACTGCGCCTACAGGGCCTCTGCTCTTGCATAGAACCCCTTGTCATTTCCCAAACGTCCTTCCTATATCTTACTTTGTTTTTTTTTTCCACAATGCTCTAAACGTAGCCACTAGACAAAAGCTGGAAATATTTCAGGGAGCTTCCTGTAATGATTCTCCCAGTCTAGGGGCCTCAAAAAGTCCAGGGTTCAAAGAATAATCTCTCTCACCATTATTAAATGATTCGCACTATCTGCAAGAGATACTTGGATTGGTGCCCTGGGTAATCTTTTAATAAGAGAAGATGTTTTAAGAAGATACTTACACAAGTGAAAATGATGAGTGTTAAGTAGAAAATAACCAGAGCCAGCAGCAGGACAATCTCCGCTCTGTATTTCTTAAAAGTCTCTTCTTTACGCTGTGCAGGGCATCCTTTAAAAAAGTAAGCGACATGTGAAGCCATTTTAACAGGATTTTTCTACCATGAAAAAAAGCTAAGAATGCTTTGTTCCTTGGTCCTGGAGTCCTGCTTGTCTCCTCTTCCCACCATCAGGATGAACGACAGTAACAGTGACAGTGAAGGTGACAGCAGCAGCCGGCGCGCACTGTCGCTCTGTGTCTGGCTGCATGCGACTCTCACATGGCATCTTTCCGAATCTTCAGAACAGGCCTGAGTAGTCCCATTTTACAGATGAAAGAGCCGAGGCTCAGAGAGGGTCAAGGACCAAGGACCAAGGCGGCTGAGCCAGACAGCTGGTCCAGGCTTATCCTGCGGCCTGTCTGCCTGCACTTCGGATGTCAAGCCTTTCCTGGCTTATTTTGTCCTCCTACCAGATGAACCACCACTTGTTAATCCAGAAATTATCTTAACTTCATCACTGTTGGGTAGACTGTGGTGTGTCCTCACCTCAGGAGGTTTCAGGGACTATGAAAGGAAGCAGGGGAGCTGCCCTGATATTGCCAAATACGTCAACAGATTTTTCTAGAATCATTCAAGCTCTTTCGGCAAGGGTGCCAGCATGGTTGGGTGGAAGAACAACTCCCTCAGGGCTGTTAAAGGGTTTGGTGCAGCACGAAGGGAGGGTAAGAGCAGCGAGGCCTTTAGCCCAGGGACAGACATGAAGGGAGGTGCCTCTCCCCACTCAGGTGCAACACCCAATGTGCTGTTTGGGGAAGCAAGTTGAGCTTTGGCTATAGTGTGCTTGCAAACAGAATCTGCTTGATGCCCCAGGCAGGAGCAGGTGGAGTGCAAGTGAGCGGAGGGGGTTCTGCCATTGGAGCCAATGGCTAGATCTCCAGAGATGTCAACCCCTGAAAATGGATTCGACATTTTGTGCAGCAGTCGAGGGATGGATTCTCACAGCCGTGGGTAATGAGAGCCATTGTCCTCATGGTCCCTAATATGTATTGGTCATTCAGTCTATCCCGGGCACTACACTCAGCATTTTAACGCAACTTCTCATTTAACCTTCACAACAAGCCTATGTTGTAGACGTTACTTCCATTTTAGAGATTAGAGAACTGAGGCTTAGTGTCAATCCGTGATTTGCTCAAGGTCACACACTAACAAAAGGCAGAGTTAATATTTGAGCCAGATCTAAGTGACTGTAGACTCTGACCCCTTAAGTTGTAGGCAATATCGCCATGGAAGAGGAAAAGGAGAGAAAATCAGCTATTCTCTTCATTTTCTCTCCACTCCCTGCAGGACATGCCTGCCCTCTCCACTCTCCTCTGCAAGGTTCCTCTCATTCAGGTGAATATTCATTGAGGGCCTACTATGTGCCCAGATACATCAGAGAAGAAAACGCAGAGGTTCTTGTTCTCTTGGGGAGACAGACAGTAAATCAATCCATACATAACATGCCAGTTGTACTAAGTACCAGGAAACAAAGAAACCAGGATGAAGGGCTGGAGATCCAGGAGGGCCTAAGGGAGGTGTGTGCATACAACACTAAGCAAAAAGCACACACTGCCCCCTTAAACAGGGACTGTACTCTTGCAGGTGTAATAATATTACCCGAAGTCCAATTCCTTTCAGATCCCTGACAGAAGGAGAAATCAACGGTTGTACGGAATCAGGGGCTCTGTGACCACATTTTTATCATTTCCACCCTCAGCCCCTAACAAGTGTTGGGCAAAAGTCAAACAAAAGGCATCATTTAAGCCACAGAAAGAGAAAATGGTGACATGCTTGCAGCGGATTTCCACTTTCAGCCACAGATGTGATCCAAAGCTCTAGAGCTACACTCCAAAAGAGAGGAACGATTTTAGGACCTAAAGGAAGTACACATGCATTGTTCAAGAAGAAAACAAGTGCAGCAGGTCACCTCACCTGTCACTCTCAAGATCACCTTGCCACTTAGGTTTCTCTGCCCATCCGGGTCCTGCAGAGTGCACCTGTATGTCCCCGAGTTGCAGCTGGTAGTGTTTCGGATCTTCAGGGAATAGGGCCTTTCATTGGGGGCGTCGAAAGAACCATTTTGCCCCTTCTGATGATAGTGCTGTCCCCTGAGGTGGTCTTCCTGGGGTGTCTCCATCCTCTCTTCACCACCCTCCAATAACTGTGAAGAAGGAATCAGAGCGCATCACGGTCCACTGCAAGCACTCCAACTCGACACCAATGTTTCCATTTTGTTTTCAGAAGATCCAGCCTCAACTTATGTTTGTAAAACAAGACGTGATGCTTTTGTGTGTGTGTGACCTCTGGGGGAGGAAAGATCTATGAAAATTCCCAAGGCTACATCTTCGGAATATATCAGGACTACATCTCATGATTCTATCATAAGTATCCCAATTTCCACCCTATATTAGGGAGAGAGAGTCACTGTTGATGACAGTGATATGCTGTGTGTGAATCTTGCTGGATTATATTTTGTGTCTATGTATACATGTATAGATAGGACTGTTCTGTATTAAATGTTCTCTTGTTTTCTTCAGATACCAACTCACCCACTGAATGATTCCTATTTTTGTATCCCAGCCTTTTATTTGGAAAAATTCCTAAATCTGTTATGATCCTTGCCAGACAATTCAACTAAAATCAGATAAGCAGATGAGCAACGCCTCCTGCGAACAGTCACCTTGTTCCTCAAGGGCTGTGTCTCTGTGTGGTCATGCCTGACGTCGCCGAATGTGCCACACCTTTTCTCTGTACTATGGCAGTGAGACAGCTGAGAAGCATGCTTTATAGAGAGTGTATGTGTCAGATCATTTGCTGCTCATATCAAACTCCACATGGAAGGGCAGTAACAGCTGACTTCACTGTACTCAGGACAGACCAGCCGGACTTGGGGAGATGCCCAATTTAGCCAGACATTTTATCTGGCTGGCTTTCTTTTTTTCTTTTTTGAGACAGGGTCTCGCTCTATCACCCAGGCTGGAGAGAACTGGCTTGATCATGGCTCACTGCACCCTTGGCCTCCTGAGTCAACCTTCTGGTACTCCCACCTCAGCCTCTCCAGTAGCTAGGACTAGAAGCCTGTGCCACCACACCTGGCTAATTTTTATTTGTTTGTTTTTTTAGAGGCAGTGTCTTGCTCTGTTGCCCAAGCTGGTCTTGAACTCCCAGACTCAAGCGATCCGCCCGCCTCGGCCTCCCAAAGTTCTGGGATTACAGGCGTGAGCCACCGTGCGCGGCTTGCTTTCTGTGAATTCTTTGTGATCAAACTGGTGGAGTGTCCACAGCATCTCCCACTGCATAGATTAGGCTCATACCACATTCACCATTAATTCTCTCTTTCCTAGACATATTTTTAATTTGCCTAATTAACTTGCTAAGTTGCTCCTCCATTGAAATACTTTAAAGCTTCTAAAATGAATGTACACATGCAGTAAAGCAAATCCTTGTTTTCAGCCTTCCTGGGCAGCCCTTCAACAATGACATCCCCTAGCAGCACCTGAGTTTCCCTTTGCTGGTTGGCTGGGGACCAGCAGGGAGCCCAGGATTAAGTGACATTCCTTACCTGTCCCTAGCATGATAACTGCACCCAAGAGCCACCTTAGGGAAGGAGACAGAGATTATCAGGGCCCACTGCCACTGTCTTTGCTTGCACCTATCAATGATGAATCTCCCGTTCTGGGAGCACCCTACAACTCTTCTCTGACTTTTAGGAAGGAACTCAGTGTAGGGAAAGAGATAACCAAGGAGTTAGGGGAATACTCTGAGAAGCAACTCAGGAAAGAAAATACATACACATGGGCACGTGTGCACTCGTATACACACACACACACACACACACACACACACAGTCATTTCTGCTTCATTTATTAATTCAGAGCATATACCACAAGGTCACCGGAAAGCTCAGGCTCCAGCCCTGGTGTTTGTGAGCATTCCTGTAGAGTGGGCTACAGAGACATCTGGTGGCAGATTGATCGCTCCTGCAAGAAAACCTGCTCAGCTCCCTCCCAGCCCTGAGCTGAGATGAACGGCTCTTCTCAGGCCGAGTCTGCGGACATAAATCCCATTTCTTGATGGTCCTTTTTGTGTGGAAAGATTCCTTCCTAAATAATCAAGAATCTATGGGAGGAAGCTAAAAGACTGGGGCCCATAGGTGTGCAAAAATAAAGCACAAAAAGGAGGTGGGGCCAAGGAAATTTAGAGGAAACTAACAGTGTCCATCTGATTCCAGAACACATCTAATTTAGCACCATTTTTCCCTTTTCAAGCCTAAGTAAACCATAAACTGAAGCCTCGTCATGGGCTCACACTGCTTGCCTCTCCCTTCCGCTGCCTGGCAGAGCGGCTTCTTCCTACCAGGCAAGGGCTTTCAAGAGACCAGAGACCGAGGCCCATCCAGGGCCAATCTGTGTCTAGGATGGCCTGAAAGGCCAGTTTGAAATAATTAGCTCGGCCCAGTCCCTGCAGTCCCCATTCCGATGTCCAATCTTGCTTTTCTTTTTCTAAATTAACCTCCAAATGCGAGTGTAGCTGCAACAACCGTTTTGAGATTATTCACCCATGGTTTTCTCCTGGGAAGCTCCTCTCCCATCCAGCAACCCCTCCCTCAGCTCAGAAAGGCCCATCTGAAAGTCAAGATCAACACTGTGAACCCCTCTGGAGCTGGTAGAAACATAAACTATTGTGTCTATTTACATAAAGATGGCCCCATTATTGTGTTAGCTGCTGGGAACTGTTGAAGCAAAAAGGTGCTGGTGATCAAAACTGGCTGGCAGTAACTTCTGCCTATTTGCAGAGAATTCATTTTAAAAATCAGCAGCAACACCAATAAAATTTATTTGACGGTTAGATTTCCAAGGGCCTCTGGCAAAACCGTCAGTGGGCCGCTAGTTATTTTTAAATGGCAAAACAAAGGCAGGGTGAGCCATAAGAACAGAAGGAAGAATCAAGGGAGAAGGCAAAACAAAGAACCTCAAAGCGACCTGCAGAATTCTGATGTGCTGCCACCAGTGGGATCATGGCAAAATATCTCAACTCTCACAGGGTCATCTTCCAAACACCCCTTTTCCTAAATGACCCAGAGAACTATCCGCAAAACCTAGGAACTCTTGCCAAACCAATGAACAGCGCTGTTTGCCTAATAACTAACTACAGCAAAAAGAATTCCCTGTAAATTCATACATTGCACCTGGAAATATTTCATAACCCTCCCTCTAACTTCCAGTTTTAGGTATATACATTTTCAGCTAAACTTTCTCTTGTGACCCCCAGCTGTGGAATTTGGGGTTTATCCACAGCTGCAAAAGGCGTGGTAGTTTTTATGTTAATGTTGCATGCTCAGAATGGGGGTGGGGCCCTAGCAGGATCAAGGGACCGTATGCAAAAGCTCATATCATTATCATCAGATACGTGGCCAGGCAGCTATCACCCTGCTTTATCAGATGAGCTAACTGTGGCAGAGGCACCACCAAAAACTGGAGGGAAATTTCAGTGGGAGGAAAACGGAGTAACAGCAAATGGGCCATCCCCACTTTGCTTTGTTTTATGAGTTCTCATAAACATTGGAGCTCACTCAAAATCAACCACTGGCAAGAACAGCTCTTTAAACATTCCAAATCTAAAAGTGTTCCATTGCTTCTCTGCAAAACCATTTTAGGAAATAGTAATTTATAACAAAAGGAACCCTCAGATTCATTCACAGCCAACCATAATTGACAGGAACTATTTAATGCACGCTTCACAATGCTAATATTGTAGTACAGTGCGCTAAAGCACAACACAATTTCAGCAAATTAATTACTCAAAACACTCATCCCAATCATGTTTTAAAAATCCACATGTTGTACATTAACTTTTATGCTGACAACTCTATCATTTTTGGTTGGGCTGGAAAAGTGCAAACGTGGGACATCTCATTTTCAGAAAGCCTGGGGACTCTGACTTGTCTCAAGGCCTCCAATTTGACTAAATTATTTAAATACCATATTCTTTCTCTCAAATGGAGATTTGACCTTAAGGAAAGCACAGGCCCTAAATTAAAACAAACTCTCTTTCATTTGCAGAATGCTAAATCAAGCAAACACAAGTACTAATTGTATGGGCACGTGAATGGAGTCAGTTTTTTTTTTTTAATGATGAACTAATTTGAACTAAAACAAAAGACATAAAATAAATCATTAATTATGGCTGAAACTGAACCAATATTAAAACATCCTATTGTGGAAAGTGTTTTTTTTTAAGTTTACATAATTTTATCCAAATATATGCCAACCTCCTACATTACCATATTTGAAGCTAAGAGGGCAATAGTTTCATTTTATAGCAAAAAAAGAGTTTTGATCACAAAATTGAAATCTAAATTTATCATATAGCAGATTTGTTAAGAATGCAGGGCCAGGCACGGTGGCTCATGCCTGTAATCCCAGCACTTTGGGAGGCTGAGGCAGGTGGATCACATGAGGTCAGGAGTTCAAGACCAGCCTTGCCAACATGGTGAAACCACATCTCCACCACAAATACAAAATATTAGCTGGGCGTGGTAGTGGACATCTGTAATTCCAGCTACTTGGGAGGCTGAGGCAGGAGAATCGCTTGAACCCAGGAGGCGAAGGTTGCAGTGAGCCAAGATTGTGCCATTGCGCTCCAGCCTGGGTGACAGAGCATGACTCCGTCTTAAAAAAAAATAAAAAAATAAAAGCAGGGGTGGGGGGAATGTGCAATAGGTACCTACCTAAAAGAAAAAAAAACAGTATAAAAATTTCATCTAATAATTTGATAAAACATATTTAAGGGTATAGATTGTAAGGATTTAAAGTTGGTATTAAATTAATCTGATGTATTCCAACCACATTGAGCAGCTTTTTTTATCGCATTTCTTGTGCACTAACATTCATGTACCTTGGTTTCTAACTCAATTAAAGTGCCAATATAATTCCCATTCATCATAAAAACAGCTCTTTATAATGTGCAAAATAGTTTGGCTCAGAGGTTGATGTCATAATGAGGGTAGAATGTATGAGCATTAATATCTTTTTTTCTATGCGTAGTTTTATTAGAAAAATGATTTTCTACTTTGAAATTTACTGGGTCTAACAGACAGAGCTGGATTTATGGCTGTTAACAGAGTTATGAGTATAGCAGAGGCAACATAATTAAGAGCACAGGCATTGGCATTGGACTGAGCTGGAACCAAACCCCAGCCCTCCCACGGCTACCTCTGCTCTTGGCCAACTGACTGAACCACTCTCAGGCTTGGATAGCTCCACTGGAATCTGGGGGTGATCACATCTCACTGAGCTGGCGTGAAGATACTTATGATGATGTATACAGACCCTAAGCATCATATCGATCACACAGAAAGCCCTGAAGATGTTACTACTCTCTCTCTCTCCTTTTTTTTATAACCAAGGTTTCATTCTGCATACTAAATAGTTCCCTGAATATAAGACGTATTGAAAAAGTATTTACTGAATGAATGCGTGAATTTTAGAAAGAGTGAGAAAGTTACAAGAGCACTAGCTTTGGAATCAAAGGTCTGAAGTCAATCCCAGTTTCTCCATGTGTTAGCTGGGTCATCTTCCATATGTCACTTCACCTCTGAGCCCCATTTCGTGATCTGGAGCTCCCTTACTTGCTCATGGGGTTATTATAAAATCAAGTGAGAAAACAAGAAAAGTGCTGTATAATTGGTAATGCTGGTAATAGAAATTATTCTTGTCTGTGATAGCTTTCCACACCATCCACCCACTCTGTCATTTCCTTACCACTGACACTTCCCGTCTCCTCTGGGAAAGTTGTCCTAGAAGTCCCAATCTCTGCTCTAGGGAGAAACTGTTTTTTCCACATATGATGTCTTCAAAATATCCACAACATTCTGTATTTTTTAAAGCACCATCATAATAATGTATCAAAACCCCTTTGGAACTGAGATTTGAAGGCAATGTTGGACCCTTCATTGTTCATGCCAATCATCTCTCTTCTATTAGCATCCCGTGGGGCCTGCTGGACCTGGAAGAGGTACCATTACAAGCTCTGAGTTCATGTCCTCTGAAGAACTCCACACCTAGGTTCTAGAGGAGGCAACTTAACTCAGGCCTGGTACCCCACGATCATGGAGACTGGCTCTGATAGGCACGTGACCCAGTCAAAGTCCCTTGAGAATAATCAGACATAAGTTGAGATATTTGAAGAGAAACACAACCTTCTCCTTTGCACTTGCTTCTGGAAGGATATACAGGTTGAGCATCCCTAATCCAAAAATCTGAAACACTTCTGCTCCCAGGCATTTCAGATAAAGGATGTGCAACTTGTCCAACTCTGTAGTTACTGGCTGTGATCTGGCTGCTATGTAGAGGTTGGACACAGAACCAATGTAAAGGAAGGCAGAGTTGACAGATGGAAAGTCACCAAGTCCTGGGGACATTCATGAACCTCTAAGCCTAGCTATATTCATTTGCCAGGGCTGCAGAGCACCACAAACTGGGTGGCTGAAACAATAGAAATGTATTCTCTCACAGTTCAGGAGGCCAGAAGTCCAAAATCAAGGTGTTGCCAGGGCCAAGCTCTCTGAAGGCTTTAGGGGAGAATCTGTTCTGTGCCTTTCTCTTAGCTTCTAGTGGTTGCCAGCAGTCCTCGGCGTTGCTTGGCTTGTAGACACATCACTCCAATCCCTGTGTCTGTCTTCAAATAGCTTTCTCCCTGTTGTCTGTGTCAGTGTGTGTTTTCTCCTATCAGGACATCATTCATACTGAAGTAGGGCCCACCCTAGTCAGGTAGCACCTCATCTCAATTTGATTACATTTGCAAAGACTCTATTTCAAAATAAAGTCACAATCACAAGCATCAGAAATTAGAACTTCTGATCTTTTGGGGGGGGCACAATTCAAGCCACAACGCCATCCATAACTGAAATGTGAACTGTATTTTGATTTTTCAATTTTTTCCCATTCCAATTATATATAAGCCAATATATTTCCTTCTCTTTAGGCTAGTTTTGATTGGATTTACAATCCCTCACAACTGAAAGACTCCTAATGATAAGGCACCCCGCACCACCATGTAAATAAGGTTGGTACGTAGGGGGCTATTGGCACATGGCTCCAGCCTCGAGGCCAGTCCTGCTTTGTCCCCTGGGCTTACATGCCTCCCACTCCTTGGGGAATGAGACCTCAAGGCCTGATTTGAATCAGAACCTCTGTTCTCCAGAACTGCTGGTCCAAGGTGATTATGAACTGTTTATGGAAACCAGCATCCTTCTTTTCCTAAAGGTTTTCCCTATGTGGACCCATAATCCTAGGCAGCTACCAGCTCTTCTAGAATCGGTAACCTCAATTCTATCGGTAATACCGATTCTAATCGGTAACCCCGAGGACTGCTGGCAACCACTGGAAGCTAAGAACTGGAACACTTCTCCAAATTGTCCCAATTTGGGATATGCAGTAGACTGGTCCTCCAAGAAAGCATCAAGTGATATTAACAAGCCTTGGGCTCCCAAGTCTGTACTAGTCCCACATGACACACACGGAAATTTTACCCAAATACACCTCAGTGCAAAACAAAACAAAATGAAAAACAAAAACATGCTTATGAGTATAAAAGAATCTTAGGGAAGTATTTTCTGCCCAGCTCTATTTTGAGCTAATGATTGTTGATACAAAATTTAGGGTTATTCCAGGAGTAGCCAGGAAGGGATTACGGAAACATCTTTAGAGGGAGGAAACTTTTTTTAGGTAATCAATCTGCTTTTAGTCTTGCCCTACATAAAACTTTCCCTTATGTCACTGAGACCTTCTCCAAACTTCCTCTTCTTTGTGTAGTGACATTGCCAAGTACGTAGCTAAGACAATCCAGTCCTCATGTGACTCAGGTTCCCCCTTTTATTAATGGAAAACAAGTTGGTTTTTTTGTTTAGCTTTTTTTTTTTTTTTTTTCAATTTAACTCTCAGCTGCTTTCTTCCTCCCTCCCCATTATCAAGCTAAAAGATTTTGGCAACTTGTGCTCTGTTCCACTATTGTCCAAAAATCTCAGTGATCCACCATTCTCATCTAGATGAGACTTCTTCTATAGCCACTCAGAGGCGGCCTCATTCTTCCTTGCCCACTCCTCCGCAGAACTACATGGACAGGACTGGTGACCAAGAGGAAAAGAAGGAAAAGAATGAAGTCTCCCTCTGAGACTCATCTTCTAAGATGAATCATATTCTATCCAACACCAGGAGAAATATGCTTTGCTTTAGGCATATTTTGCATTATGCCATTGTCTTTGCTTAAAATCCTTCAGTGAGGCCGGGCGTGGTGGCTTACGCCTGTAATCCCAGCACTTTGGGAGGCTGAGGCAGGTGGATCACCTGAGGTCAGGAGCTCGAGACCAGCCTGGCCAACATGGTGAAACCCTGTCTCTACTAAAAATACAAAAAAGTAGCCGGGCATGGTGGTGGGCACCTGTAATCCCAGCTACTCAGGAGGCTAAGGCAGGGGAATCGCTTGAACCTTGGAAGAGGGGGTTGCAGTGAGCTGAGATCACACCACAGTATTCCAGCCTGGGCGACAAGAGCAAAACTCTGTCTCAAAAAAAAAAAAAACAAAAACAAACAAACAAACAAAAAATCCTTCAATGGCTCCTTACTGCCAAAAGGATAAAGGTCAAGTCATTGTTGCTGGGCATTCAAGGCCCCTCACAATCTGTCTCTAGCCTACTTTCTAATGTTATCTCTCAGCCATATCTGCTGTTTAAGTCTCCCTTCTACATCACTGGTTACCTCAATGGTTCCCAAAAAGTCTTAGTGGATTCCCAGGCCTTTGCTCAAGATGGTCCTCTGGCAAAAGTTCTACATTGATCCTGAGATGGCCAATGCCAGGCCCAGGATGGGGCACACATTTGGGACTTAGAAGTATCTACTAAACAATGAAAGTGTAAATATGAGAGACATCTGAAAAGCAACTTTACATCTTTCATGGTTTGACCTAGGGAGGAGCCCATAAAAGTGATTCAACCAGGTCAAGTACTATAGGTGCCAATGGGGACAGTACGATTTTTTTTTTTTAATTCTAACATACATTGTTTTCATAATTCAATGGTTCTACATTTAATGTAGAAATGTTTCCTTTTTGTCCTAAAACATGTTCTTAAATCCACCTTACAACAGAATCATTCTGGAATCAAGGAAGCACAGTAAGTGTTCAGTACTGGCTCCTTCCATGGGCTATGAAGGTCTCTGGCTGTACAGATTACATCTGCCCCAACCGCTTATCAACTCTAGGCCCTCCTAAGGCACTCTGCTCTCCTCAGTATCCCTGGTTTTGTAGCTCATTATCACACAAGATGGTAGAGACAGAAAACATAACTCCACCAAAAAGAAGTTTAGCAACATACACGGAAGACAGCCTTGAACTTTTGAAGTGGCCTCACGCAAGCCATTAACCTGCTCTCCAACAGTTTCCTTAGTGTTAATGTCAGAAGCAGAACACTCCATGGATGGCCCATGATCTGCCCCAGCTGGGGCTCTTCTCAATATTATAAAGTCTATTTATAGTAGACTTTTATATGAAGTCACACTCTTACTTCCCTTTTCTCCCTTCCTTTGGAAATCATCTGAAAAGGGCACTTGTCTTGTGATGCTTCACTCTCCTCACCCCCGCAGCATCACCCAGAGATGACACCATATATCCTCTTTCGTTTTGCATCACCCATAGGCTGTCAGGGCTCCTAGCATGATACAAGAAGGCATTGCAACTCTGGGATAAATGATCACTCATTACTATCTTTAGTGATTATCAACCAGGCCCAAAGTACTCCAACCAAAGTCATCCTCTCTCTCCAAACCTACATTAAAGAGAGTGTAGACACAGCGACGCTTTTCATGAAGTCCACATGCAGCCCTTTAATGCATGGCTTTACTCCTCACAGACATGATATTGTGCTATGCCCTTTTATGCTGGAATTTAATCACAGGTCATGGCCAGTGGAAGAAAAGTCATGGATCAAAGTCTATTTGCATATTTTCTCAAAATACCTCCTCAAAGAACCACATCTATTACAACTTTTTTTTTTTTTTTTTTTTTTTTTGGTAGAGACAGGTCTCACTGCATTGCCCAGGCTGGCCTCAAACTCCTGGGCTCAAGTGATCCTCCCATCTTCGCCTCCCAAAATGCTGGGATTACAGGCATAAGCCTCAGCCACCACACCCAGTCTATTACAACTTTAAAAGATAAATCGATTGGCTCATGCCTGTAATCCTAGCACTTTGGGAGGCTGAAGTGGGAGGATGGCTTGAGCTCAGGAGTTGGAGACCAGCCTGGGCAATGTATTGAAATCTTGTCCCTACAAAAAATTAAAAACATAAAAATTAGCCAGGTGTGGTGGTACGCCCTTGTAGTCTCAGCTACTTGGGAGGCTGAGGTGGGAGGATTACTCGAGCCCAGGAAGTCGAGGCTGCAGTGAGCCATCTTCATGCCACTGTACTCCAGCTTGGGAAACAGGGTGACACTCTGTCTCAAAAAATAAACATAAAGCTAAATTGAGCTACTATCCTAATGAATATAATGTATTAACTTTTCTATTTCTTCTCAATCACCCATTATGCCTTAAAAAGTATAAGGGAGGAAGGGATGAGAAGAGGACCCTTTGTTGGATCCCAGTTAAGAGGACATGGTCCATAGAAGAGAAGAGCTGGGCCAACAGGAATTGGGATATCTCTGTCCACTTTTGGCTTCACCTTTAGCCTCTTGCACATGTGTCTATTAAGTCCCCTCTAGCCCATCTCACTGCATCTTTGAAACAGAGAGAACAGAATGAACACTCTTCCTTCCCAACCCTAATGTTGCAAACAGATTGGATGCTGTCTGTTTTGAGTTTTCTGGTCAAAGGCATATGATAAAAAACACATGGTTTACATGGGTCCTTTTGTTAATTACAAGTATCAGTGCCAAATGGACAAAGGCAAGATGCTACATGGTGCCGGAGGATTGAGTGGTGAATAGAATTTTAAATTGTGAGTCATTATAACCATACTTATGATATGCAGACAGCCTGCAGAATGTGCTTCAATCTGGTGGATGGTGAAAACCCACTGCAAGGGACTCTGCTTTCCTTGCCCAGTATGAAGCCCCCTCCTAAGCTGGCAAAACAGGTTTTACAAAGCCAGGGTAGTGATGATGAAGTGAGTAGGATGGGATAAGCTGGTTCTGGTTACCAAAATGAAATTCCTCCCTTTGTGGCTACCCCTCCACTTTGATGAAACATTTTACAAGAAACTTATAGAAAAATGACCAGATGCTTAACATTCTGTAAAATGAAGTATTTTGGCATTTCACCACTGGCCTTGTCTCCAGAACACTCTATCCATTTTTGTTGTATAAGCATAATCAATGAAAAAGTATAATTATTGGGCTGGAAAATAATAAGTATCTACAGAACATGCTGAGAGCTGTTTTAAAAAAAATGCTTAAAGGAACAATATATGTCACTTTCGAGGCACCTGATTCGTTTATTGGTATAGCATAACTCTCCTACCCACGAATCTCAATCACCATTTACTTCTCAAAAAATAACTACGGTATGACTTTTCATTGGCACTATTCCATGGATCAACAGGAAAAAAAGAACGCCTAGAGACTGCTGTCCCTTTTTTTCTTGACAGAGCTTTCAAAGACCTTGGGGGTAAATCTCGCAAGAATTCTGTCCAATAAACAAGCTCATGCGTTACCGAGTTACGTCACCAGCTGACATCCAAGGAGAAGTCCAAGGTTAATTGCTATGGTTTAGTGGACCATTCCAAATGACCCTGTGCAAGAAGCTTTCACTCCAGAACTGTTTGAACTTCACAGCCTGAAATTTCATCTACTTGTTTCATGAGTACTTTTTAATTACTCCCCTGGGGGTATTAATAATGTTTTCTTTATTAAATAGTTACTCTCTGGAAGGGATAGTGGTTTCATGTTTTTCCCCGTTCTTTGAGATAACTAAGTCCCTGCCTGGTTAGCCCAGGGGCACTTTGATTTTCTTTATCTTAAGTTATTAAGGGAGAAAACAGAGATCAAGATAGACCTCTAACAACTCAGGATTTGGAATCAGACTGCTTCGTTCAAATCCCAACTCCACCATTTAGCTAGCTGTGCAAAAGTGGACAAGTTATTTCCCTCCCTAAGGCTCAGTTTCCTCACCTGTAAAGTAGGAATAGTAACAGTACTAATCCCTAAGTCCATTCTTCCGATGGATGGAAATGGATAATGTATGTAAATATTTACCTTGGAGCTTGGCACGTGGTGAGCATTCAAAAATTGTTTTTACAATATTTTTAAAAATACTATTGTTTTGACTATGAGAACAATTTCGGAATTGTTGTGTTCTCTGATCCCACAGTAAGTAAGGTACCAATGAAGTAGGAATATTTAACACCTTACTTTTATACACAATACAATGCTCTGAGGCAGCAGCACCATCCCCGTCATGCATAACTCATGAAGTGCTGGGCTGAATTCACAGAGCACCTTTGCAATTTATAGGGCAAAAATTAGGTGCCGTGAAGAATACACAGAAGTATGGATACAGCCACTGCCCCCCAGGGAACTGACCATCCAGTTAGGAGACACACACACAAAGAGATCACCGCAATGATGCCTTGTACTGTTAAGTGGCCAAAGACGTACAGTTTCTTATAGTATCTTTTATGGTGGGCAGAAGAACGCCCTGCATTTTGGGGAAAGCTACAAGTGCAGAGATTTGCCCCCGTGGTAAGACAGCAAATCAGTGAGAGCTACAGAGTAAGGTTGTAATATCATATTCATTTGGGTTAAAATGGAGGTGCTGTGGTAGCAGTGGCCTGACTTAAAGAAGGACCAGTGATATCAAACAGTAGCTGCTTGGCTTTGGAATGACACCATCATTGCCATCTTAGAATCTGAGAATGTTTCAGTCAAGAGGAAACCTTGAAAAAGCCTCCTTGTCACTCAGTCCACTTACAGTAGGAGCAGCAAGGCCTGTTCTTACACATGCGGGCTCCGGCTCATGCATCCACCTGATGCTCTCAAGGCTGCCAGAGGAAGGAGGAGGAGGGCTAGGGGAGGAAGCCAAGGGTATCCCACAAAGGAGATGACCACTGATAACTACCATGGATGAAATGGCCTAAGTCACTTCTGTGTCTTAGCCTTTCCTTTCAAATTGCCCCCTCCCCCTCCCATGTATCATGGGCATCACAGTCACAAAACACAAGAAATCAGAAGTCTGGAGACATTCCCCCTGTCCAATGCCCAAATCTAGGTCCCTGTTGCTTTCTTCCTGACCTGCTGGCCCACAACCACAGGTGGCCTCCAGAATTAATCCAAATGAGAGTCTCTGCCCTTCCAAAACATCTTAAGTGGATCATTCATCTCAGGCCACCTTCAGTGACAGGAAGGGGATTGAGGTCTGCGGAGAGCAAAACCTAATTCGGCCCTGTACCTGGATGCGGATGGGGTGGGGGAGGCGCGACGGGAGGCTGGGTACTCCAAGTTCAGCTGCGGGAGACGCCCCTCGCCCCCACCTGGCAGCCACAGAGGGTCGCCAGCCTAGGGGAGATGGTTCCTGCTGTCTTCAAATGAGCCCACCAAACCCCAGCCCGTGGGTATCGCAGCACCTACCTTGACCCAGGAGACCGTGTAGGGAACCTGCGGATCCCAGGGGGCGGTGCAGGGCAAGTCCACATCTTCGGAGCAAGCCACCTTCACCTCCGGCGTCGCGGGAGCCAGGCTGTAGGCTACAAGAAAGAGAGAGCGCGTCGTGAGCAAGCGACCGACGGGAGGGGGTGTCGTGGAGGGGCGGGGGGCGACAGGCGAGACAGGCGCTCGCGAGCCCTACCGCAGCTCAGGAGCAGAAGCTGGAGGCCGCGCGACATGGCTGGAGCGCTGCGCCGCTGCCACGAGCTGCAGAGCTGTGGCGCGCGGGCGCCGGCTGCCCTTTTATGCCCGCGCGTTCGGGAACTTCCCTGCGCGCCAGCCCGGGGGATTCCCCGGCGGGCAGCGGAAGCGGGTGGCGCGCCCTCCTAGTCCCGCTTAGGCCGGGGCGCCCCCGTCCCCGCCCCCTTCGCCCCCGTCCCCGCCCCCGTCCCCGCCCCCGTCGCACCCGCCGCCCTCGCCGCGTGCGCGTCCCCGCCCCCGCGCGCCCGGGCCGGGCGCCCCGAGTTCGCGTCGCTGCTGCGGCTGGCAGCGGCGACAGCAATCCCCGCGTGACGCCCAGCGCTGGGGGCTTTGCAGACCGCGCTCGCGCGCGTGACGCTGCCGTTGACCCGCAAAAGGAAGCCGGGAACCGGGCCATCCGAGCGGGATCTGCCCATTTTACGGAGGCCAAACCAGATTCCGAGAGGGTGGGCAACTTCCTCAGAAGCCCAGCCTGTCCTTGGGAACGCACTGGTGAACCCAAGTCCTCACTCTTCTCCAGAATCTGTGATAATCAAAGGCGCGTTAGATTTCCATGGAAACATACAAGTCTGTAGTACTTGGCTCCCTGCCTTCCCCGGGAGGTTATCAGTCAGTACCGTCCTGTTTAAATTATATCACCAAAGGAGAGTGTCTCCTATTAAAATAATAATTACACGCATACACAACATTTTTGGAAAAGAAAATTCTAGAAGACAATGAAATCACCTGTAATTCATCCAGGAAGTAACTTCAGTTAACATTTTTTTATATTATAAAATGTTTATAACATAACATAACGTAAAATATTTATAACATTTGTCAGTGCACAGATTGGTATTTTTAATGGTTTATTCTTCCTGCTATCTTGTAACCTACTTTCTTTTAGCTTAATAATTTGCAAGCGGTTCCACATCATTAAAAACTTCCAACAGCATCATTTTGGTCCATTGTTCAGTTGCACCATAAATTAGAATCGATTAGTGTTAGACATACAGGTTGTTTCTTTTTGTATTACTAATATTAGAAACAATACTGTGATTGCTATGGGAAACTTCAGTGTAGATAAATCTTTGCTCTAAAATTGCTTATTTTCTTAGAATAAATACCTCAAGGAAATTGTGCTAGGTGAAGGGGAGTTTCCAATTTTGTCAAATATTGCCAAAAAATTACCTGCAAGGAGGTGTCTTCAATCTATATTCCCATCTGCAAAGAGAGTGCCTGTTTGCCAACACAAACTGTTATCCAACCTTTCTATCTTTGTCCATCCAAGAGGTTAAAAAGAGTGGCATCACTATACCACCAGTTCTAATCTGCTCTTGGAAGTAGTTATATCAATTGACAGTCCCGCCAGCTTGTGTGAGTACCTTTTCTCCAGCAGCCTCACCAAATTAATTTTTTAATTGTGAAAATGTTAAGCATACAAAATAAGTATAGAAAATATGGAATTGAACACATCTGTATACAATTTATTCTTGAGAAATAAAACAGTACTAACATTTTCGAGACCCTCTTTTTTTTTTTTTTTTTTTTTTTTTGAGACGGAGTCTCGATCTGTCTCCCAGGCTGGAGTGCAGTGGCCGTGATCTGAGCTTACTGCAAGCTCCGCCTCCCGGGTTCACGCCATTCTCCTGCCTCAGCCTCCCGAGTAGCTGGGACTACAGGAGCCCGCCACCACGCCCGACTAATTTTTTTGTGTGTGTATTTTTAGACGGGGTTTCACCGTGTTAGCCAGGATGGTCTTTTGAGACCCACTATGTGTCCTCTGCCAGATCTCATACCTAGCCATTTATGCTTCTTTTCAGTTTTTCCTGATTATAAACAATGTTGCAGGGGAGCTGAAAGTCTTCCAACACTCTAGCTCAGTAATTACACTGCATTGTTAAATATTGCCGTCTTATTATCCAAAATGCACATGCCCATTTACACTCCCCTCAGCAGGTCTTAGCATGATCAGATTTTTTTCTTTAAAGATAGGGTCTCACTATGTTGCTCAGGCTGGTCTCAAATTCCTGGGCTCAAGAGATCCTCCTACCTTGGCCTCCCAAGGTACTGGGATTACAGGTGTGAGCCACGTGCCCAGCCAGATCTTTTTAAATTTCTGCCTATCTAATGAGTGTGAAATATTAGATCCTTTTTGCTTAATTTATGTTACATTGATAACATATGCTTCAAGAACATTGGATATTTCTGAGCATTGTCATTCATATCCTTTGGCCTTTTCCATGAGCGCTGTTTATAAAATCTGGGCCAAATCCTTTCTTGGTTATATCCATGCCAAATCTCTTCTCCAAGTTTAAGATTTGTATTTTCCATTTTGTTTATGATATCTTTAATTTACCAAAGAGTTTTTAAAAAATATTTTCATGTGGTCAAATTTACTGATCTTTTGGTTTATGATTTGTGCTTCTGGTATTGTGTTTAAGAAATCTTTTCCTGACCTGAGATCATAAAAACATTCTCCTTCATTTCCTTCCAAAACTTTTAAAGTCATGCTTTTTCATATGTTGGTCTTTAATCCATTTAAATATGGTTTGATGTCGTGATCTAACTTATTTTTTCCATATGGATAACCATTTTTTCCAATGCTGCTTGCTAAAAGTCCTTCTTTCCCTACTGATTTAAAATGACATCTGTGCTTTATACAAATTTCTACATATGAGTGGGCCTGTTTCTAGACTCTATTCTGCCTCTCTTTGTGCTAATATCACACTTTCTTATTACTATAATTTAATTAAGTCTTGCTGTGGTGGAAGTGAGTCCTCACATGTTGAACTTCGTCTTCAAAATCGTTCTGGTGGCTGGGTGCAGTGGCTCACGCCTGTAATCCCAGCACTTTGGAAGGCCCAGGTGGACGGATCACTTGAGATTAGGAGTTCAAGACTGGCCTGGGCAACATGGTGAACCTGGTCTTTACTAAAAATGCAAAAAAATAACAAATACAGAAAATAGCCGGGCATGGTGGCTTGCACCTGTGGTCCCAGCTACTCAGGAGGCTGAGGCAGGAGGATCGCTTAAGCCCAGGAGGTCCACGCTGCAGTGAGCCGAGATTGTGCCACTGCACTCCAGACTGGGTGACAGAGCAAGACTGTGTATCCAAAAAAAAAAAAAATGTTCTGGCATTCTTGGTTCTTTGTTCTACCTTATACATATTATATCAATTTGTGAACCTCAAAAAACTTGATTTGAATTTTAGTAGGAATATATTCAATTTATAAATCTCCTAAAATCAACATCTTTAGAAGTCAGTTCTACAAATTCATCCCATATTGTGTATCTTTCCATTTATTTAGGTCTTCAAGAATTTTTAAAATTATATATATATAGGTTTTTCACATCTTTTGATAGATTTCTTCCTGGATACCTTCACATTGTGTTGCTACTTTCACATATATATTTTTTAAACTCTATTTTTCTAGGTGTCCATAGCCAGTGAGTAGAAATTTCCTTTCTTATTAATGTTAACAATGTGTTCTTAGACTCTCCATTAAGTCACTTGTTGAATTATGAATTATTTAGAGGGTTTTTTTAAAAAAATTTCCCAATATATGGCTTGCTTTTCATTTTGCTACTGGTGTCTAACAGTTGAGGTTGCTCAAGAACAGTCTGTATGATTCTTTGTTGCAATATCAAGGATTGCTTTGTAGCCTCATATGTGATCTTTTGGTAAGAGTGGCATGTACTCGGAAAGAAAGATCTTTTTGATTTTGCTCATGGTGTTGCTCAGATCTTCTATATCCCTTCTGTAATCATGAACTATCAATTATTGAAAGAGATGTGTTAAATTCTCTCCCATGACTACAGAATTGTCTGTTTATCTCTGAAATTTTATCATTTTTTTGGCTTGGTATAATTTGATGCTATGTTTTAGTGTCTGGAAGTTATGTTTTTCCAATGAATTGTTCCTTTTTCTCTTCATTTATTTGACTTTTTTTTTTTTTTTTTTTTTTTTGAGACGGAGTCTCGCTCTGTCGCCCAGGCTGGAGTGCAGTGGCGGGATCTCGGCTCACTGCAACCTCCACCTCCCAGGTTAAGCAATTCTCTGCCTCAGCCTCCCAAGTAGCTGGAATTACAGGCACCCGTCACCATGCCTGGCTAATTCTTGTATTTTTAGTAGAGATGGGATTTCACCATGTTGGTAGGCTGATCTCGAACTCCTAACCTCATGATCCGCCCACCTCAGCCTCCCAAAGTGCTGGGATTACAGGCGTGAACCATCATGCCCAGCCTGTTTACTCTTAATATTACCATCCTCTGCCTCTTCTTTTCTCTGGGTTAATTTCTTGCTGGCGTTTTCAATACTTTTACATTCAACATTTCTTTTTCCTTACATTCTATTGTGTCCTTTTTAAAGTATATTGTTAGATTTTCTTCTATCCAGTATGACTGACAATCTATCTTGCTAACTGAGGGTTTAATTTTATTACTTTGTGAATTCTGCTACATTAGGATTTATTTTGGTCATTTTGTTTTACGCTTTATGCTTAACCAGATTTTTCTCTGCCTCTTCCTTTCTTGCATCTTTTTATTGACCATTAATAAAAATATTTTAGCCCGGGCATGGTGGCTTATGCCTGTAATCCCAGCACTTTGGGAGGCCGAGGCGGGTGGGTCACATGAGGTCAGGAGTTTGAAACTAGCCTGAACAACATAGTAAAACCCATCTCTACTATAAATAAATAAATAAATAAATTTAGCTGGGTGTGGTGGTGCGTGCCTGTAATCCCAGCTACTCAGGAGGCTGAGGCATGAGAATCACTTGAACCCAGGAGGCGGAGGTTGCAGTGAGCCGAGATTGTACCACTGCACTCCAGCCTGGGCAACAGAGCCAGACTTGGTCTCAAAAAATAAAATAAAAATAGAAATATATATTCTGTGGTGTTCTCTCTACTGGTTTGGAAGTCATGCATACTATTTCTCTTCTTATGTGATTAACTTTTTATAATTTTTCATAAGCATACTCGATTTAATAAATTCTAGAGTTAATTAATATTGCCACCCTTTGCCCTAAAATGCCCAAATGCCCGAACTCTGCCCATCTCATCTACTATTATGACCAGTACCCTTGTTCCACTATGTTTTTATACTCCCCAAGTAGTCTTTTTTTACATATTAGATATTTGTTGAAATTTATCTCATATTGTACATCTCACTGCTTCTTTCTTGGTTCAATTCCTTCTGAAGTATATTGTTAATTCTTTTAGCAAAGGTCTTCAAGTGGAAAATGCTCTCTGTTTTTGTGTGAAAGTGTTTATTTTGCCCATATCCTTGAATCATAGTGTAGTTGTAAGTTGACGGTTATTCCTTCTCAGCACTTGAACATATTATTCCATTGGTCTTCTGGCTTCTGTTGTTGCTGTTGCAAAGTTCCAGACAACCTGATAACTCATTCCTTTGTAGGCAATGCTTTTGTCTTTGAGAATTTCTAAGATCTTGGCCTTTCTACTTGGTCTTTTTTTTTTTTTTTTTTTTTTTTTGAGATGGAATCTTGCTCTGTTGCCTAGGCTGGAGTGTAGTGGTGTGATCTCGGCTCACTGCAACCTCTGCCTCCCGGGTTCAAGCGATTCTGGTGCCTCAGCCTCCTGAGTAGCTGGGACTACAGGCACGTGCCACCATGCCCAGCTAATTTTTTTGTGTGTTTTTAGTAGAGATGGGGTTTCGCCATGTTGGCCAGGCTGTTCTCGAACTCCTGACTTCAGGTGATCCGCCCGCCTCAGCCTCCCAAAGTGCTGGATTACAGGCGTGAGCCACCGCACCCGACTGGTCTTCTTTTAGTTATACTGTGTTGTGTCCAGTAGAGGATTTCATGTTACTTAACCTGCTGTGGTTCATAACTTTCATTAGTCCTCATTTATCATGTCTTGAACATCTAATAGATATGGTTGGTCCTTCACAGTCCACACTCCTTGTCAGTAAGCCCTTCCTCTGCATGTTCTGTCTCTTCATCTCTCTGCACAGGCTTCTGAAGATTCCTCAGATCTTTCTTTCCATTCATTAGTTATTTATTTGGTAATATATAATCTTTGGTTTAACATAGTAAGCTTTAAATGATAATTTTTAAATTTCTGAGTTATATTTGATTTCCTATGTAGCTCAGTCTAATCTTTTTGATGTCTTATTCTGTTATGTTATTATTATTATACTTCTTTTATGACTTCTCATTTTAAACATGCTTATTTTTAATCTACCTGATAATTATATTTTATCTGAAGTTGTTGGCTGTTTCATATTGTTTTTTGTTTTGTTCACTAACTATTGGTTTTAGGGGTTTTTTTTTTTTTTTGGTTTTGCCTCCCAGACTGGAGTGTGGCAGCACGATCTCAGCTCACTGCAACCTCTGCCTCCCAGATTCAAGCAATTCTCCTGTCTCAGCCTCCCAAGTAGCTGGGCACCACCACGCCCGGCTAAGTTTTGTATTTTTAATAGAGATGGGATTTCACCATGTTGGCAAGGCTGGTCTCGAACTCCTGACCTCTGGTGATTCACCCACCTCAGCCTCCCAAAGTGCTGGGATTACAGGTATGAGCCACCATGCCGGGACTGTATGGTAGTTTTTAATTATAAGTTAATCTTTAGTTGGGACTTCATATGAGGGTATGCTAGGAGGCCTAGGATGGATGTACGGCCTCCCAGAAAGGTTTTATTTTTATTTCAGCCAGGTTCCCAAGGATATTATTGGTGTGTGACAGCATTTTATATTAATTTCTTGGTGGGACATGTCTTAGACCACTCTAGTAATATAAATTTAAATATCATATCCACGAGAGGGCACATTAATTATTATAAATTAATTTTAAGGGGAGCTTTTTTCTTTTTCTCAAGCAAGCTTCCCTGTCATCTCCCTGTGTAAGCAGGCAATGGTTTTCAGTTCATCCTTACACCAGGGTCTCAGTTCCAACTCCCTACTCTTCTGGGGCCCAAGCCCCTTCTTGTGTGCCTGCTGGTCATGAAAGCCTAAGCTCCTTGATTTAATAAATTCTAAAGTGAATTAATATTCCCATATTGGATTCCCAGCCTGGCCAACTGTCCTCCCCAACCTTACCTCCAGCAGCCCCAGGGGCAACCCAGACTGGTCATAGTTCTTCCTCCATTTTTGACCCTTCAGCATTCCCTTACTTTCTTGCAGGTGCAGCTAGGCATTTATTAGACTGGATTCAGCACTTCTAGAAATTTGCAACAGCTGTTTTTCATATTACATGGAAACCTATGTTGTTGAAAAACAGAAGTATCCAATCTGCTGCTCAATAACCTAAAAGCTTGCCATCACAGGAACCCCTTCTTAACCCACAGAGTTGAACGCCAAGGTGTATTTTCACACGTAGCATATTCTTCCTCATGTCCTCATACTGAGTATGAAGAGATCTCTGATGAAGGCCATTCCTGAGGAAGCATTTTCAGGCTAACTACAGCTACCTTATCATAAAAAACCAGACAGTATTTCGCAGCGTGTGTCTGGCGTGGGAGTGGGAGTGGAAATTCAGTAGCTCTGAGTCCTGACTTGTGTTCTTCCTCGAATGTACGAGAGGGGCTTACCCGTATGTTGATCTTCGCTTTCAGTGAAAAGGGAAAAGAAAGGTGAATGCAGAGGAAGAGCTTCTTGCCTTTCTGAAACCACTGGCTGTCACCTTCATGTTTTCTCTGCTGTGACTATAGAAAGAGAAAAACCGAAAATCATTAGAAAACATTGTGGTTACGCATTCTCACTGCCAAGGCAAGCATTTGGTAACCTTGGGCAAGGAACAAAGCTAGCCAGGTCCCTCTCCCTTTCTTCTGACCCTCAAACCTTCCTGTCTGATTGCAATTTGCATCACGGCCAGGGCTTCATCATTTAATTTATCTCAGAGAGCATCCTGACAGAGCATGGCAGAACATTGTGAACCTAGACATTTGAGAAGCTGGTCAGAGTTTGGGAGCCAGGGGAGAAAGCTCTAGAATGTTTTATTAGTTCTCTCACCTGCCCCTCCCAAGTCAGGGACTCATGGGGAACGGGTGTGGAGAGAGGGAAGTTTTAATTCACTATTAAACATTCACTAAGCAGCTGGTAAGTGGTGCATAAGAAAAGACCATTCTCAAGAAGTTTACACAGTAGAATACAGTTTCCTTTTTCTGGAGTTGCTGGGGGAGTGTCTCACTATGTTGCCCAGGCTGGTTTCGAACTCCTGAGCTCAAGTGATCCTCCCACCTCAGCCTCCCAAAGTGCTGGGATTACAGGCATGAGCCGCCGTGCCTGGCCATTGAATACCATTTCTCACAGTGGACCTTGCTTGCCTCTCTGGAGTTCTACACAGTTTCTCACTGAGGGTCTGGGGGGACTGGGATGCAGGGGCAGAAGGTGGTTCTACAAGGAGGGAGAGAACTAGTGATGGGAGAATTCAGGGGAGGAGAGAGGATTAGGAGAAAAAGGAAATGAGAGTAAGGCATGCCCTTTAAGAAAAAGTCCCGAGGGAGGGGGGCCAGTGAACACGTTTCTGCTGTCTGCCTTAGACACCTGTCAGATGCTGAATGGATCATAAATAGGCAGAAAGAAGTTTGTGATAGGCTGGAAATAGCTCACCTGATGACTGCTGCCAGCAATGGGGGCAAAACCCATGGTACTCCCAGGCACCCAGCTCTCTACCCAGCCTGACTTCCTGGCTGGACTGATCTGCAGGATGAGGAAGTTCTGTAAAAGGGGAAGGCGGGGGTTCCCCTCTGCCCCAAGTGTGCCTTCTGAGCCTCCTTTCCAGAGAAGGGCTTTTGAGTGAAAAGAACGCACTTAACCTAGGCCTGCCCACGGACTACCGCAGCAGCTGCCCCTTGTTGAGCTCTGGCTGAGAGTCAAGCCTTCTGTGCTCAGCCCCTTCTGACTCTGCTCCCCAGCGGAGAGCTCTTATCTGCTGGCCTCCAGGTCTCGGGTTCCCATTACCACAGCCCTTCCCTCAAGCCAGTAGAACCTTCGCGAACACCTCCACTGCTGGCGGCACTCCCCAGCGTTAAGGCCTGAACACCCATGGGCCATTGAGAACCACAGAAGGGCTGGAAGGAAAGCCCAAAGTGTGGCTATGTAAATTGTGTTTTTAAATAAAATTTCCCATCAGGTTTTTCCCTGAGGGCTACTTCTTAGTCACCCTGTACTTTCCAGTTATGGGCTTGTTTGTTCACCGAATGAACCAAATAAATAGAAATAACTCTTATTTCTCGTGCTTTGTCTTTGCTTTCTTTTTTTCTCTTAGAAACTAAAAGCCTGTAGAGAGAGTGTCCATCCTCTGCCAAGGAGGAAAGAGGGAGGTGAAACAATTCCTTTGTTGAACATGAGGAAGAAACCGCATAATCCAGCAAGTGACACAAAAACAAAACACAGAGATATTGGTCTCAGGCTTGATTTGAGGCACTTAGTGGAAAGTCTCTCCACAGGCACAACACAGTCCTTCAAGGACCATGTAAAGCAAGCCTCTTCTTTTCTCTTCTCTTCTCTTTTCTTTTCTTCTCTTTTCTTCTTTTCTTTTTTGAGATGAAGTCTTGCTCTGTTGCCCAGCCTGGAGTTTAATGGTGTGATCTCAGCTCACTGCAAACTCCACCTCCCAGGTTCAAGCAATTCTCCTGTCTCAGCCTCCCGAGTAGCTGGGATTACAGACACCTGCCATCATGCCCAGCTAATTTTTGTAGAGAAAGGGTTTCACTGTGTTGACCAGGCTGGTCTTGAACTCCTGACCTCAGGTGATCTACCCGCCTTGGCCTCCCAGAGTGCTGGGATTACAGGCGTGAGCCACCATGCCAGGCTGCCTTTTTTTTTTTTTTTTTTAAAGGCAGGAACTTCTATGCTGAAATCTCCTGCTTGTATGCTTCTTGCTGCACCTTTGAGCTTGCTTGTCCCTCTCTCTAGAAACTTCTTGCCCAGAATCACAGCCCAACTTCCTCATTCATTTCACCCAAGTGTGTTCAAATGTTACTCTTCCAGAAGAGTCTCTCTTGACCATCTATCTAAAAGATCTAAGCCCTGCACCATCCCTGTACCTTGTCTTAATTTTCCCCCACAGCACTTCTCTCAATCTGACATTATCGCACATATTTGTATGCCTATTTATATTTTTTCTCCTCCATTAGAATGTGGAGGCCATGTCTTATTCACTTCCTTTAGTCTCAGGTCCAAGAATAGCATTGGGCATGTAGTAGGTGCTCAATAAATGTTTGCTGAATTAATGTATCAATGAAGACAGAGGTACTTGAGAGAAATATTGTGGCAATTTGCATTATCAGCTTTCATTTTCACACCTTGTTTTCATGCTGTGAGAGTTGAGGCCAAACGTTAAGTCAGGGGACCCTCGCTTCCAACATCAATTCAAGTTTGAGGGGTTCCCAAAGCCACCCTTGAGTATGATAGTGCACTGAAGGGACTCATGAAGTGGCTGAAAGCTGTTATACTCATGGTTACCATTTATTACAGAGAAAGAATACAGATTAAAACCAGCTAAGGAAGAGAAGCCTAGGGCAGAGTCCAAGAGAGGTCCAATGTGGAGGTTCCAGGCATCCTCTTTTCATGGAGTCATGGACAGTGGTACCTCCTCCCAGCCATGATGTGTGACAATATGCATGGAATATTGCCAAGCAGGGATGCTCACCTGAGCCTCAGTGGCCAGAGTTTTTATTGCAGCTCAATCACTACTGCCCATGTGGCTGACATGATTCTCTAGTTCCTCCAAAGGCAGAGCTAACATCACCTCCACCAAATGCCTCCATTGCAAATCATATTTTTAGACTGTCAAGTGGCCAATGCCCCTAGACAAACAAAGACATTTCTATCAGTCTTGATATTCCAGGAGCCTAGGGGTTACCTCCTAGTAGTGAACGGCAAAGGTCAGACCTCTCTCTGGGTAGAGTTAATTCTTTACTCACACATGCCTTATAAATTTGCTGTGCCCTTGAGCTGTGGGTGGGAATAACTCCCCCACCTCTTGACCTTGGGTTTGTCTCATGAGTGGTGCAAGATCAGAGGTAACCAGGTCCATGCACATTTGTGTCTTTTCACATTGACAGACTTTTACTGATGCTATTTCAATCACAAAAGCCACTAGCTACATCAGGTCCCCAAGGAGGCAATTCTCGTTAGCACTTCCTGTTCACTGGGCAGTCAGAGTCACAGGCACAGAGGCTGAAGCCACTCCACAAGTCACTCTATATTGCAAATTATACATAATAGTACACCTAATCAATATATAAATGTTATGGGTTAAACATCTACAACAAACAAAATAACATTTAACATCAAGAGAAAAGAAATGGGAAAAAATGGTTAATGAACCAGTCCATGAAGAGCAACAGAGACAAAAAGAATCTCCTGGTCTGGGCCAGGCAGTCCAGTGGTCTTGCAAGGAACACCTTTGATGTGGGTAGAGCCTTTCGTGGCAGATGCCAGAGCCTTTCATGGCAGATGCCAAGGAGCTTATCTTGAGTGACAGCAAGACAGTGTTGATTAAGACAGCTGTTTCAGCCGGGTGTGGTGGCTCACACCTGTAATCCCAGCACTTTGGGAGGCTGAGGCGGGTGGATCACCAGAGGTCAGGAGTTCGGGACCAGCCTGGCCAACATGGTGAAACCCCATCTCTACTAAAAATACAAAAATTAGCTGGACGTGGTGGCACGCGCTTTTAATCCCAGCTACTCAGGACGCTGAGGCAGGAGAATTGTTTGAACCCATGGGGCAGAGGTTGCAGTGAGCTGAGATCGCACCACTATACTCCAGCCTGGGCAATAAGAGCAAAACTCCATCTCAAAACAAAACAAAACAAACAAACAAAAAACCACTGTTTCAAGCGCTGAAGTCCTCCTCCTGCCCTTTTTATGGCTGCAGTGTCCTCTGGTGAAGAATGATAGTGGAAGATTGTGCTTATTTATGTCCTTATCTGGTTGGTTGCAGTCTTTACTTATTAATTTATTTATTAAGCAAAATATCTTGTCCCTATTGGCAAGTGCCCTATGAAATGTAAGATGGAGTTTTTTTCTAAGATGGAGTCACTTATGTCAAGGGTGCTTCATACAGTTTGTAGTGTGACTTCTTGCCCATGGAATGAAGCAGAAATCAAGGTGTATTAATTCCACTTTCTCTCCTTCATCTCTACCATCATCATGAGAAGAACATGTCCAGGCTAGCCCATTTGTGCCAGGAAGAATATGAGAAACATATGGTGCAAAGTCAACCCATCCCCAATCTGAACCCAGCCTAGAGCCAGCCTTCATCTCGTGGGCTGACTATCTGAACTCCATAAATGCCTTCTGCTATATGCTGCTGAGATTTTGTGATTGGTTTTTAAGCAGCATTATCATGGGTATAATTAACTGATAAAGATATCAAACCCTTAAGGACCATTTATATTTTTCCATAAGTTTGCTGATCCTATTAGAGCTCCTTTGGCTGTCAAAAACAGGGTAGCTTGAGAAAATGGGCACAAGTTGACGAAGTTTGGATGAAAGCAGGTGATGAGGGAGGAGGCTTGCAAGATCTAAAGCAGTGATTGCAAATCCAGTTACCTACAGGGCCAGAAGGGTTATGTGAGGGAACAAAGAAAGCCAGTTACCTGACAATAAATGTGAACCATGTGAGAAGAAAAGCAACAGAGAGTAGTGAGGACTATGGCAAACTGGACAGTAATCACCCAACTAAGAGAAGCCACCACTTAGCTCCCACCAATTGTTGCTAATGGGAAAATGTCAACCAACGTCAAATCTTTCAAGTTTTTTTTTCAGAGGATTGGATATAGATATTATATGAAATCTCTTAAATGCTGCAAATGGTTGATTTTTGTTCAAAACACTTTTGCAAGACAAACCAAACACACCTATGGCTGTCTGTATGCAACCTCTCATTTATGTCATGATATACAACATCTGGTGGCAGCAGGCTTGTCTGGGACCTTAAGGAGAGGACGCTTGATGGCCAGGGTCAGCATGAGGTGACCAGTTCCTTGTGCGTGGCTGGGTGATGGGTTTTAGCTCAGAGAGGAAAAATCACACAAAGAGGAGAGCAGGCATAACAAGGGGATACCAAAGACAAACTTCTTCACCGTTATTTGGCCCGTGGCTGTTCCTATCACAGCTTAATGGGGCCACTTGAGGGTTCTGAAATGATTTGTTAACAGTTTTCAATGGTGGGGGTGTAACACCCGTAATAATCCGGCAAGGATCAAAGTAATTTACATGTATACCTCTCTGTAGGGTGCTGCAGAATGTTTCAGGAATTCAAGCAACATCAGCGGCAGCACATGAGTAGCCTCTGCCTGGGGCTCAGGAGCAAGGTGGGAGGTGCTAACATAGCCCTCCATACGCTCACCCCTCACTAGGCATTGCCCCAAACACTGACCCTCAACTGTGTTTGCAGAATTTTGCTCTTTGAAACAGAAAAGCGAGAGGTGGGCTTCTTTTCTGTTTGTGACTAAAAGCTATGGACATCAGCACCTAGTTTTTTCTCTAAGGTGGACATCAGCTGTGGACACAGTAGAGCTGTCAGTAAGTCCTACGACTGCCTTTCAGGGTGTTTATTCCCCAGTCACTGGTCCTGATATGGGCTGTCTGCTCTACAGGTGCAAGAATTATTCCTGAGACAAGTCACTTGTAAGCTGATATTTGTTTAGCACCAGGTTGTTGCTTGCTCTTCCTCACTTCCTTGCTGTCTTGTAGCCCTGGGGATGCTGCAGACATGATGGTTCTGAGGAAGGCCAGGGAAGGTCTCCCCCACGTGCACAGACCTGAGCGCAGCTGCCGGCAGGAACAGCAGAAATGACAGAGCGTTTATCTCTACCTGCAATGGGAGCAAGCCCACTTCATATGAAAAAGCACCTAAGCTTGCCTAAGGGTTTTATTTTTAAGAATGTATATCAACAATGCCACTGAAAGCACATTCTACTGGTACCAGTAAGACAAAAGAAACAAACATCCACTGAGTGATACTAACCAGACATACACATCACACCATTTAATCCTTATGATGATTCTGACAGGTGATATTAAAACGTCCACTAGTACACATGAGGAAATTGATGCCCAGATATGTCTGACCCAAGAGACTACTGTTAGATATGGTAGGCATATGTCTTGAACATTCCAGATTTTGAATACTGTGTTCCACAATTACACCTTCTCCCTTTGTGGGATGTCACTATGTCATGAGGCCAGTGAGGAGCCCCCTATCCCCATCCTCTTTTAATACCCTACAGAATTTTTATAGGACATTCTATAAATGCCCTCTAGGTACCACAGGTCAGCATCAAGCCAAAAGGGAAGAGCGAGTTCAACTTTGTCTCTGGTCACTTCCATGATAGGGAAGAAAACAAGTGAAAGCTCCTTGACAACGGTATTTTCAGTAACTTACATGAGAAGATTATGATGTCGCAAAGGTAAAGGCAGCCTTTCTCATGTCTCATGGCCAGCCGAATAGACCTTCCCTGAAGATTCAAACATGATAGCACAGTCAACTCTCTACCATTCCAAAGGCAGGCTTGTGTGGGTACATGAGTCCAGAAAGTAGATCTGTACAAGGAGGCCAGCCTGCCAGGAAAGAGAGGGGTCAGATGTCTGGTAGCAAAAGCCAAGATCTCATCGGGCTCTGAGTGTGGCCATTTGGTCCAAGCAGGAATGGGGCAGGCAGTGAGGGTGTGAGGAGGGCCCAGGAAGGTGGGAGACCAGCATCAAGGATGTGAGAGTGTGTGCCAGGGGCTAAGACTGGGCACAGGAAAGTCAGGCTGGGGAGCAAGGTCTGACTCCTGACCCTGAGGACTCGGGGCAACTAGGCCAGAGTCAGGCAGGACCAAGACCACCCAGCTGAGCCAGAGGACTTCCCACGGGGTCTCTGCCTGGGTCAGACTCAGTCCCCAAGACCTCAAGCTGATTTCGATAGCCTTTATTTATCAAAGGACTGGTATTTAAATAAAATACTTTATTTATCCATTGACTGTTGGTGTTTGGGTTCAAAACATGTTATCTAAGTGATAAGGCTCCTTTATCCCCCCCATGACCTCAGGTTACTGAGCAATCGGAGGGTCCTGGGCTGCTGCCTGTGTCTGGATGAGAAGAGCTGCAACTCCAGATTTGTGCATTTGAGGACATGCCTATATGAGAGTGGGTATATATGTGGTTGTGAACATATGGATATGTGTGTGTGTCTCTCTTTCTCCGCGTGTTTGTGTATGCGTGTTTCCTCAAGATCTGAGGCATCTCTTGCAGATGGGGATTCAGGGCTGGTAATCCCCAAGCATCACTTCTCTCTCTGTGAGCAGAGGAACTTGGAGGAATGGGTGAATGTCTCCAGCCTCAGCTCTGTCACCACTACCCTCTTCTCTATTGTCTAGACCCTGTCCATCAACCTTGGAACCCAGTCCTGAGAGTAAGAGCTGGTGGTGGGACATTGCCTCTCCTTCACAAGGACCTCCTGAGACATGGCATGGAAACAGAGGTGGCCTTTCTCACCTGTTCTCCTCTCCTTCCTGTGTGAGCTGGGTCAGGGGATCCCAAGTCCAGGGTGCACTTTTTTTCTACCCCAAAAAGACAGATGTCAACTTCCAAATTATTATTATACAGCTATGACTAAAAAAATGAATCTAGCCAAGTGCAGTGGCTCACGCCTGTAATCCCAGCACTTTGGGAGGCTGAGGCAGGAGGATCATCTGAGGTCAGGAGTTCGAGACCAGCCTGGTCAACATGGCAAAATCCCGTCTCCACTAAAAATACAAAAAGAAAAATATTAGCTGGGCATGGTGGCACATGACTGTAATCCCAGCTACTTGGGAGGCTGAGGCAGGAGAATTGCTTGAACCCGGGAGGCAGAGGTTGCAGTGAGCCAAGACCGTGCCATTGCACTTCAGATTGGGCAACAAGAGTGAAACTGTCTCAAAAAAAAAAAAAAGAATCTGAACTTTATTTCTAACATCTTAACTAGTCATAGACCATCACCTTTAATTCTTAGTAAATACCCAGCTCTTACATCCCATACACACCATTTGTCACCTCATACATGGACCTCATCCTAAGTCCATTAATTATTTCTGCTCCCTGAAAGACTGATTTCCTTAACAGTATCTATTTTCCCTTCAGAAAGACTGGGGACCCTTCCTTCCTTGGGTCCCCAGGTAAGATCAACTTCAGTGGCATAGCCAAAGCAACACTGGAGTCACCGATTAAACAGGGCTGGTTAGGAAAGTGTTGCCTTCCGAGGGTGCCCAGGTTAAGTTCACCTGGCAGGGACACTTATAGTCTTCAGAATCTGGCTTCAAATGTTTTGGGATTCTCAAGAAGTCTGCATGGGAAAGGAAGCTTGAAGCAGGAGGGTGTTTTTCAACTCTTGGGAGCTCTTGGAGAAAAGAGCTGAGGCTTTAATTTGGGACCCAGGGCAGGCTGCTCAGGTAGGCAGGGATCCCTGTGGTTTGATCCAGGTTTTGTCTATTTGACTCTTTCAGGGTCTAGGCTCTGAGTTCCATTATGACACTGAATGTACTATTCATTCTTCTGGTCTACACTGCAGAGGAATCCCAGTCATGTCAGCCCCTCATAAAGGGCTGTCTATGATCTCTGCCTCTGGGTTTTAAGAAATGGTAAGCTCTACAGACAAATCTCTTAGACAATCCTCTTAGACTCAGACTTCACAATTAAATCCAACCCTGGAAGGTTACCAGGGAAATAGACTGAAACGGGGTGTGGGGAGATATCTGGGAGTAACAGACTAGGACTTCCTGGTGCTGCAATTCTGCACGTCCTTGAAGAACGATTGATTCAGATGCCACTGGCTACCCGCTCTCATCTACATGATGATGATGCTACGGCAGTCATCTCTAGCCTCCCAGCCACTGCCCCTGTTCATCAAGAGTTCAGGATCTGGCTCACTGTCTCTCTGCCACCCCCACTGTCATCACAACTACAAAGACAACCCACCCTACATTCTGGCCCTTCTGTTTCTTATCTCCTTGTTGACATCTTTTCTTCTATCCCACTTTATCCACCCACTCCCAAGATCATTTCCTAGATCAATATCCAGGGTCATTGCTTCCCCTTGCATAGACTCCAGCATTTCTTGGGATCTCTGATCCATTGGCACTATCATCTTTTTCACATCTGTCCCTCTTACCCAGCTTGGATCCAGGGCCCATCATTCTGCTCCCTTGCATCCATGTCCTTCCACACTTAACCCCTTGTCCCATCTGTCATACTTGTGAGGCTAACACCCCAAGTCTGCTTACACTTACCTCCTTGCCTAGTCAGCTCCCAAACCTAAGCCATGTACAAGGCTGGTGGAAAACACATAACTGTGCCTACTTCTTCCTTTATATGTATGGCCATAAAATTCAAGTGGGCCCCAGCACCATCTGGGTAGTTCCTCAGTCAACTCACTCCGCAATCCCCCTGCGCAAGATGACTATTTCTCATCTTCTTTCCTCTCCCTACTCAGCTGTTGACCTTGGTTTTTATTTCACCAGAAAACAAAATCAGAAGAGAATTCTTCTCATCAACAAATCTACCAACTTCCTGAATCTGTGTTATCTGGCTCCTTTCCAAGACCTCTCCACTTGTGCCTACTGAAGGACTTTGCAACCATCTCCTCTCTCTCTTGACCCAACTCGCTACTTGCTTATACTCATCAGCCTACATATATTCTACAATAACTCCTATGTTTAAAAAAATTCTATCTGGGCCAAATGCAGTGCCTGTAATCCCAGCACTTTGGGAGGCTGAGGGGGGCAGAACACTTGAGCCCAGGAGTTTGAGACCAGCCTGGGCAACATAGTGAGACCCCACCTCTACAAAAAAAATCAGCCAGGCATGGTGGTGCATGCCTGTAGTCCCACCAACTCTGGGGACTGAGGTGGGCAAATCACTTGAGCCCAGGAGGTTGAGGCTGCAGTAAACTGAGATCCCACCATTGCATTCCAGCCTGGATGACAGAGTGAGACCCTGTCTCAAAAAAAAAAAATTATATCTGAACAAGGAGTGGTTCTACATTATATTAGTACACACTGTGAAGCCCCTATAATGAAAATAGTGTGGTACTAACTCATAAAAATTCAGAAAGATCAATTAAATAAAATAAAAAGTCAAGAAGTAGACCCAAATGCTTATAGAAATCCAAGTTATGTAAAAGTGCTATGCCCAAATATCCCCAAATCACTGAGGCAAAGATAGTCTTCTTAACACAGGGTACTCAAACAACTGAATAGTCATTTGAAAAAAAAAATAAAATAATATCTATTTCTCACACTATCACAGGAATAATTGCCAAATGAATCAGAGACCTAGATGCAAAATGAAACTATAAAAGTACTAGAATAGAACATGGGTGAACTCCTGTATAACCTGGATAGGAAAAGATTTTTTAATATGACCAAAATCCAGAGGCTACAAAGGAAAGACCGGTAAATATCACCACAAAAAAAAAAGTTTTTTTTTTTAAAAAGGCATAAACATAGTCAAAACACGATGAAAACTGACCAGAAAAATATTTGCAGATGCAGATCATAAGGTTTTAAAATTCTAAAACTTCTAAAAATCCTAAAGAAAAATAGACAAAATACATGAACAGATAATTCATTAAAAGAGAAATAACACCGGTCCTTAAACATACGAAAATGTGTTCAAATTTACTTATACTAGGGCTGGGTACGGTGACCCACGCCTGTAATCCCAGCACTCTGGGAAGCCGAGGGAGGCAGATCACCTGAGGTCAGCAGTTGAAGAACAGCCTGGTCAACATGACGAAACCCCGTCTCTACTTAAAATAAAAAAATTAGCCGGGTGTGATGGCGGGCGCCTGTAATCCCAGCTACTCAAGAGGCTGAGGCAGGAGAATCACTTGAACCCGGGAGGCGGAGGTTGGTTGCAGTCAGCCGAGATTGCACCACTGCACTCCAGCCTGGGAAACAGGGTGAGACTCTGCCTCAAAAAAAAAAAAAAAAAAAAAAAAAAAAAAAAAAAAAAAAAAACTTATAGTAAAATGTAAATTAAATGCACATTTTTAACTCATTGAATTGGCAAAAAAAAAAAAAAAAGTTCAAAAGCTTAACAATACGCACTGTTGGTGAGGCTAAGGAAAAAGGCTCTCTGGTACATTGCAGGTGGGACTGTGATACGGCACAACCCCTGTGGAGATGAACTCAGCAACATCTAACAAAACCACGTATGCATGTACCCTTCCACTCAGCAATTCCACTTCTGTAAATTTGCCCCAAATATATCCCTTCCACTACGTAAAAATACAAATGCCCAAGGTTATTCATTGCAGCAATTTTTTATAATTGCAAAATATTGGAAGCTACCTAAATGCCTAAGTATAGAGTACTTGAATAAAATATGGTACACACATGCAATGAGGTACTAAGCAGATATAAAAAGTATGCGGAAGATCCCTGTGAAATGATATGGAATGATTTCCAGGAGACGCTGTTAAGTGAAAAGGCAAGGTACAAAAGAGTATATAGAGTGGGATATCTTTTGTGAAGAAAGAAGGGAAATAATGAGACTTGAGTATTCTTTTTTTTGGGGGGGAGACGGAGTCTCGCTCTGTCGCCCAGGCTGGAGTGCAGTGGCGCGATCTCGGCTCAATGCAAGTTCCGCCTCCCGGGTTCACACCATTCTCCTGCCTCAGCCTCCCGAGTAGCTGGAACTACAGGCGCCCACCACCATGCCCAGCTAATTTTTTGTTTTTGTATTTTTAGTAGAGACAGGGTTTCACCGTGTTAGCTAGGATGGTCTCGATCTCCTGACCTCGTGATCCACCCATATTGTCTCTACAAAGACAAGCTTCTTGAGCTTCTCTCTACAAAAAGAAACATGGGAAGAAAAATCCAAAAAATCTTGTAGTTGTTTTCCTCTAAGGAGTATGAGGGAATAGGATGGAAAAAGCACGCTTTTCTTTTTAATTCCCTCCCTCCCTCCCTCCCTCCCTCCCTCCCTTCCTTCCTTCCTTCCTTCCTTCCTTCCTTCCTTCCTTCCTTCCTCTCTCTCTCTCTCTCTCTCTCTCTTTCTTTCTTTCTTTCGACAGAGTTTCACTTTTATTGCCCAGACTGGAGTGCAGTGGTAGATCTTGGCTCACTGCAACCTCTGCCTCCCAGGTTCAAGCAATTCTCCTGCCTCAGCCTCCCGAGTAGCCGGGATTACAGGCACTGGCCACCACACCCAGCTAATTTTTGTACTTTTAGTAGAGATGAGGTTTCACCATGTTGGCCAGGCTAGTCTCGAACTCCTGACCTCAGGTGATCTGCCTGCCTCGGCCTCCCAAAGTGCTGGGATTACAGGCATGAGCCACTGGGCCCAGCCTGAGCATGCTTTTCTATATTGTTTTGACTTTTGAAAGCATGTTCACATTCTACCTGGCAAACAATAAAATTAAATCAGTAATGAAGCTTAACACCCAGTACCTATTTGCCATTCTTTGGGCAACCATGCCCTGCTTTTTTGGGGGGAAAGCACGCATCCCACATCCTTTTCCCATGTGTGTTTCATGGGCCCCACCCATATGTGGGGTGGGCATGTGACAGTCCTGTCCATTCGGAGTACCACATTTCTCTGGCCATGGGGCCTGGCCTAGGGGTGGGCGCTTAACACAACTGAGTCAGTGATTTTTCATAGCCTTTAGCTGCCACTGTTAGAGGCCATCTTCCTCTTTTTCCTTGCACTAGCATCTGGGAGGTAGTAGACCTGGAGTAACCAGCAGCCCTCTTGGCATCATGTGGAGCCTTGAAATGAAGCCGAAATGGAAGGAAGAGAGCAATGCTAAGAGGGGAACAGACCAGTTCCTGAAATATTGTTCAAGCCCCTGGATCAAGCCCCTGCCCTTTTTAATGAATTGCATGAACTAATTATTTCAAGTTCTTGCCTATGCCTGCTTGAGTTAGGTTTTCTGTAACATGCATTCAAACCATCTCAATGGATACATTAGTTCAAATCTCTCTATTATTGGTGTGGAATCTGAGTCTCAGTAGAGTGAAAGCACAAGCCCAAAAATCATGCTGGAAGATAATAGCAAGGGCGGCGCTAAGACTCAGAACCTCTGGCTCCAAGTTCAGATTACACAGTCAGTGTGGCAGACGGCCTTCACCTAGGGGACAACTTATGTTCCAGGTGGAAGAGAAAGAGACAGAAAGCAAGCTAAGCCCCCTCGTATGGCCTAATATGTCCCAGACCTCCAGACTCAGGGTTTATGAGAGTTGAACGAAGTTTCTGTTATTACAGGTATCAGCCATCAAGATGTGCACAGAGAAAACTCAGCAACTGGGAAATCAGCTGCATGGTAGCAAGATACACAGACTTGGAGTCAGAAGATGTGGGCCCAGACCCTGATATCCACCCACTCTTGTGGGTGGGCGCCTTCTGAATGTGAAGGGAGGCTAATAATAGTGCTCCTGGGAGTCCAAAGACTGATGCTTTGGAGAGGCCTCTGTAAGCCAGCATCCTCCTCCAGCAGTGCTCAGGCCTGGAAACAATCCACAGGCTGTTTAAATGGCCATCACAGAGGTTTTTTTCAAGGCAGAATTCTGCCTTCTCTTGACAACAAACAAGCAAGACTTGAGAACACCTGGGGAGAACTGTGACCTACATGCCTTTTTGTCCAGGCAGGAGAGGCTGACGCGCCCTCAGTTCTCCTTCACCCACCCCTACCCAGTGCAGCTAGAAACCTGGGGGTGTGTTCCAATGGCCATTTAGGGTCCGACACTGCCATGGGCCTCACACAAGAGAACTCTTGCTCTGCAGCCAGCTGTCTTCCAAAGCAGGGAAGCAAAGGATTCACCCAGAGGGCCATGCGAACTTCCCGCCCTGGCTTCCAAGCTGGTCACCCGCCTCACTCAGCACATGACCGCCTGGTCCAGGGGAGGCCTCTGAATTCACAGGCATAACTGTAAATGCAAATTCCCATGTAAAGCTCATGGATGAAAGGAAGGAAATGAGAATTAGGACTCAAGTTCTGTTGGGTGAAATGTAAAACCTGGGTATCTACTCTGATAAGATTAAAGTGAGTAATTGGCAGGTGGACCAGTGGTGAGCTTCAGGGATCAAGAACACAGGGAAGCAAGTTTAGAGGCCAAAAAGGCAGCCACTGGGTGCTAAGCAGGGGAGAACTAGTGATGTTGACTGCCTATGGCCGGGTGAGGGCCGAGGACGAGCCTCCCAATGCTGGGCACAGGTACAGCTGCTGACGTTGACCACTAGGTACAGGAAACCAGGCAGACCTTTACAAAGGCTGGGCAACATCCTGGTGAGCTCCCATGTGGAACCCACAAGAAGCCACGTTTAGTCTCACAACATTTATGGGGAAATTCCCCTGAATTGACGTTTAAGCTTTAATAGAGGAAATCAACATTCTCAGTAAATCTGGTAAAAGGTCTATGGAAACTTTGTTAAATTTCAGCCAGAGACACCCCCAATGGCTGGTCCAGCCAGTGCTGTCCATTATGCAGCTCATTCCATACAAAGTCCTTGTTCTCAAACTTGGCTAAGGCCTCCTATGAGAGAACACCTTCTACACCAGAAGGTATAATTAGATGCCCTATGGTAGCTTTTAGCCCATGTTTTGAAAATCAGCGAGGTGCCTGAGCTGAGGTGGCTGGCGGATGTGCATTGAGGAGATAGGCTGACATGGGGTGTGTTCATTAAGTTATTCAACAAGCATTCATTTACTGGGTATATAGAGTTTCCAAGCCATCATGCTTAACACCGTGGAGCCCAGAGCAATGGATAAAATGGAGCAAGTCCATTTTGCTCCCCATGGAGCATGTCAGAGGCCAGTTGGGGCCAAGTGTGTGTCTGGGAGCAGGAGGGCAATGGCAATCGGGATGCCTGTGAGATTTCCTGCTGTACTTCCTTGGTGGGGCCAGACCAGAGAATGTTGCCTATTGAAAAACATTTCTTTGTAAGGGCTTTGTAAGCAGACATCTCCAGCTGGGAGCAACTGAGGAATTTTTTAATCAGAGCCTTGATCTGCTCTTGCGGCACTGCCTGAGGCTAGCAGTGTCCCTATAACACCAAACTGAATTCTAAAAAGAAAAAAAATCAACTGATTGCTTCCAAATACTGGGATGCTTATGGGGGCATGTGTGTGTGTGTGTGCGTGCGTGTGTGTGTGTGTGCCACCATGCCCGGCAAACTTTTTTTGTATTTTCAGTAGAGACAGGGTTTTGTCACGTGGACCAGGCTGGTCTCAAACTCCTGACCTCAGGTGATCCGCCTGCCTCGGCCTCCCAAAGTGCTGGGATTACAGGCGTGAGCCACCGGACTCAGCCAGGGCTCTGTTGTTATCCCCACATCATGCCCTTCAAGTATGCCATGCTGCCGGATGTCAGGAACCAGGCTCCAAGGGGTGGTGTCTTGGCATGACTTAGACAACCAGAGACAACAACCCCAAAACAGACCTCTGGCCTTTCTCTCCTCCTCCATCTGCCTCCTGCCAGAGAAACCAAAAGAAGAACTTACTTATAAAGGCAGTCATGGGTCTTTTCACTTGTGGCACTGTGATGCCTGGCCACTGTGGGGTTTTGGAAAGGGAAGTAGCACTGACATCATAGAAACCTAGAACTGAAAAAGACCTGAAATGTTCATCTTGTCCAGGCACCTCAGTGAGACAAGACACAGCTCCCTCTCCTTGCAGCTCTCCCTGAAGATGCAGAAATAGTACTCTACCTCCTTCAGTTCTTGCTGCCAGGGCTTTATCTCCCAAAGAGGGAAGATTTTTCTCGCAACTTGAGTTCTCATTTAACTCCAGTCTACTGTCTTTTTTTTTTCAGCCAGGAGGGTCCACTAGTCAGCATTAGGCCCCTCACAAACTTGCAAACTCAAAGATAGTGGTGGAAGTGACTATTAGTCTTTTCATTTCAGGCCAGCTAAACACAATTATCTCCACCTACATTCTTCACTTGGTTCCTGTACTGTGCAGGTTTTGTTGTTGTTGTTTTTTTAATCTATACTGTTTGCAATTTTTCCACTATTTTTTTCAAAAATGTGACTGGGGTACATTGAATTTTTGTTTCCCATTCTTCACTCTCTCTCTGTTACAGAATTCTACACCCGTGACCTTTGCCATGTGACTTTGCAGTGGCTCTCACTAGAATGAGTGCAGTGTTTTTCCTCACCCCATGGAAGCTTGGCTCAGCCACAGGCTTTGCCTTGAATAACAGACGCTAGTGGAAATGATGTAAAAGAGGCTTTAAATGTGCTTGCATGATTTGACTTGGCCTGTTGTATTTCCGCCATCACCGTAAGAAGACTATGCCCCAGGTGGTGCCAGTTCCAGAACAAAATATATAAAGCAGGCCCAAAGTAGACCTGGAGCCTGGAGCCATGCCCAGTGGAGCCCAGCCAAGATCAGCTGAGTCCCTGCCAATCCACAGACCTGTGAATAAAAAAATGAATGTTTGTGGCGTCAGCCAGTGAGACTTGGGGCATTATTTGTTATACATTATTGCGGTAGTTGATGACTAATAAAATTGCCAAAATAAGGTCTGATTTAGACTAGAGATGAATTATTACCCTATCCTTGCATCACACACTCCTCAAACCACCTCTTTTGTGACACCTTCCTTGGTTCCTTTAGCTTCTCTACAACTTGTCCACCCTAAATCCTTCTTTTTGGTGTCCTATATTTGGGCCCCTGATCATAGTCAATAAAACGTTTTCTAGAAGTCAGTCTGACATATTACTCAATACTTGCATGTTTGAAACCTTATCAACAAGACTATAAAGTCATTGAGAACAGGGACCATGCGAGTACAGGATGGATAATAAAATACTCTTATTAGGAACATTCTGTACCGTGATCTCTCATCTTTGGCAGAATAAGGCTTCCAGATGTTAGCTGGAAACACATCACCATTGCATTCATGGAATTAGCATAAGGCTATGCACACAGTAGACATAAGACGCATTCGAATATTTATGGAGTGTCCATTGGAGAAGCAAAAGTAACTGAGTTGTCAATCAAATAAATATTTCTGATCTATTAATACTCAATGTCATATGCCTTATCTTTTTTGATAAAGATAATATTCAAATTCTCAATTCCATAGATATTGAATATAAGCATTTCTCTTTCCCAGCCAAAATACATCAATAGAAATAAGTGAGAGATAGTGAAGCCACCTATTTAAAAGGCCTGTGAATCGCTTCTCAGCCTTTGGCGAAGATTAAGTTTAAAAGGACTATGAAGCAAAACCTTGTGTAAAGCTAATGTTTACTTCCTATTTTACAGTGCTCTGTTTCATTTTTATTAATAAAATACACTTTTGTGTATGACAGCTGATCATATTTGATTTTCATATTCTCTATTTAAGACCAGAGAATATTCTTCAGAACCACATTTTTTTTCCCACAGTTTAGTTTCAAATGTAGTATAGTTCCTCTTTTTATAAAACAAGTCAGGAAGGTTTGTTTTATATTAAAGCATTCAATGAAAGGGTGTTTTTTTTTTTTTAAATACAAATCTACTTTTCATATACTGGAACTTTCCAGATGACTGGTCAGATTACTACAATCGCATGTTATATTGATCTGGAGTTCAAAAAAACACCAAAAGAACAATGGGATAAGCCTGCTTTCCTTCCAAGTATGGGCATAGCTATCAAAGCACCACAACTGATTTTGCAATATTCCAGAAATTATACGTCAAAGTGAATCTTGTTCCTTCAAATCAGCCACCTTATTCATTTATTCCAAAGAATTGCCAGTGGTCAAAACTGTGCTGAAAATCTTTTTATGATTTCCTTCAAAGCCATTTAAAAAAATATATTATTAAAGGCAGCAACTCTTTGTCCTTTGGGAATGAATACGATTTTGGAAACAGAAAAAGTCATTTGGGAACAAATTTAGTGAAAAGAGCAATCAAACTGGGTGATATAAGGAAGAAATTCAGATTTGTCCATCATCTCACAGCCCAGAGATAACCACCATGAATATCTTGGCATATTTTATGCTAGTAAGTCTCTATGTATATATTTTAACATAAATAGGATGATGTCACGTGTGCAGATTTGCATCTCCCCTTTTTCTCCCCAGTCAATATTCCCATTATTCCTATTTTACAAGGATCAGACAAGCTAAGTAACAAGCAAACAGTCATACTTCAGAAAGTGTTCTAACTTCCAACTTCTTTCAAAATGCATTGAGGCTGAAAAAAGGAGAACAGTTATACCAAAAAAAAAAAAAAGCCTGATTTTCTATTCCCTATTCCTTGGTGATAATAGCAAGAATAGTACTTAGTTATAACACCACAATGCATGACACATGAGAGAGAAACCAAGAGTGAGAGAAAAGAAAATTATGTGGTTCCAACAGAAAATAAAGAGAATGAGATGCCTTGCCCAAGTCAATCATTTATGTAGACAACGTGTGTGTGCGCCTGCATGTGTGTGTGTGTGAACACACCTTTTATTACAAGTCACAAAAGTTTATTACCCAGTCAATGCTCGGCTATGGAGTAACATCTCTTGAAATTGAAGAAGCACTACTTAAGGCAGGACCAGAGATGATGGAATGGGTGTTTGACATGTATCAGATCTTTTCAGAAACTGAGAGGGGTCGTACTGTTTATACATGCTTTCTAGGCACACAGAAACCTAAGTCTGTTTCCCAAACTCCAAGGCTGCACAGTCAGTGAGTTCAGCGTAGCCTCTCACCACTGTGTTGGACCTCTGTGGATCCAGTTTTGGGAGCGGGGTGGGTGTGGATTTTGTCTCAAACTCTCTCTATCTGGAATGTGTTCTGTAGTCTTAAAAACAAGAGCTGAATATGCTCAATCTCCACTTTGCCCCCCAAACTGAGGCCATCTCCCCAACACCCAACAGAAGATCCTGTTAGAAATTCTCGATTTGGTCCCACACAAGTTACTGCAATCTTCCTACTAGGGTTGAGATGCCAGAAGATCCCTGTTAGGGACTGAAAGTTTGTGTCTCTCCCCTTGCCACCAAATTCATGTATCAATATGTATTAGGAGGTGGGGCCTTTGGGAAGCGATTAGGTCATGAAGGGGAAGCCCTCATGAATGAGATCAATACCCTTCTAAAAGAGGCCAGAGAGCACACTCTTGCTGCTTCTACCATGTGAGGACATAGTGAGAGGATGCCATCTATAAACCTGGAAGAAGGTCCTCACCGGGTACTGAATTTGCCAGCACCTTGATCTTGGACTTCCCAGCCTCCAGAACTGTGAGCAACGATGTCATTTATAAGCCACCCAGTCTCTAGTATTTCTGTTATAGCAGCTCGAACTAAAACTATCCCTATTTTGCCCTTTTCTGCTTAAAACTTGCTTTTTTTGTAGAGCCAGTTTAGCCTAGAGGAGAAAGTTTCAGCTTTTGAATCCTACAAATTCTCCTTTTTCCACTTCTTCACTAAGTCAAGGTTGGAGAGTGACTTCATCTGCCTCAAAATGAACTTTCTCACCTGCGATAAATATGAAGGTATCAGGACATAAAATTATCTCATAAACCACACATTTGGGAACACTCCATAAAGCCAAATCACCCCAGTTGAACCCAGAAACAGTTCCACGGATTGAGAGAAGAGACTGATAAGAATCAAGAGAGTTAATCATTGCAATATGGTTCCAGAAAAAGCGCTGCCTCCTGCTCCTCTCCACCCCATCTTGGGCCAAGCCAACTGAGAAAAGGATGACTGATAGGAACCCCAATAGCTTTAAAGACCCAAGAACATGTGTGAAACCTTCGAAGACCATAAGACCTCAAAGTCCCTTGAGCCCAGCATGGTGGGAAGCAATAGAGCAGAAATTGCTAGGTGGCATAGCAAGGCAGAAAGGGACTGGGCCAACACAGCCAGATATTGTCCCTGCTCCCCAGAAGGGCAAAGGAGTGACGAAGAGAGCCAGATCCACAGGGCCTCATCAGGATGAGGTGGGGGCAGCGGTAGTACTACACACATGGATGACTGGAGGCCAGGCAGGAGAGAGGACGCACAGGACCACGCCGGCACCGACAGGTGATAACCACGCCACGCCCCGCCCCACCACCTCCACCCTTGCGGGGAAAAAGATTAGATTTCTGGGCTGGGCGCGGTGGCTCACGCCTGTAATCCCAGCACTTTGGGAGGCCGAGGCGGGCGGATCACGAGGTCAAGAGACTGAGACCATCCTGGCTAACACGGTGAAACCCCGTCCCTACTAAAAATACAAAAAATTAGCCGGGCGTGGTGGCGGGCGCCTGTAGTTCCAGCTACTCGGAAGGCTGAGGCAGGAGAATGGTGTGATCCCAGGAGGCGGAGCTTGCAGTGAGCCGAGACCGAGCCACTGCACTCTAGCCTGGGTGACAGAGCGGGACTCCGTCTCAAAAAAAAAAAAAAAAAATTAGATTTCTGAAACGCTTTGGAATGAGAGCACTAAACAGAAACTGAAATAGAAATTAAGTTTAGTCATAGAAAGTTACATTTGTTGCAGTCCAATATGGGTACTCATTACATGAATATATGTAAAGTAACTGTGCACGTGGCAGTTGCACAATAAATTCCAAGCATTATTATGATGACTATTGACCAGTTATATTTCTGTCCACCTTCTCTTTCCAGAGAAGTTGAGGCAACCTTGAGTGCTGAAATAAGGGCAGAGCATCCCTAGCATAATAAATGTTGGAGAACTATTTTATGTTTCTTTATATGAGTGATTGAGGGATCACTGTACTCCACCTTCTCCCATCTATTGTAGATTATATTATTCTTCAGTCAGTCTTCATGTTCCTGGTCCACCCTCCTGAATGGAGTACATCTCCCCATCCCTTGACCTTGGGCTGGGCCATAGGATGTGCGTTGACTGAAGAATGGGGTGTGGCACAATGGTGGCATGCCAGCACAAAGAGAGACTCAGAGGCATTATGTCTTTTCGCTTCCTGTCTGGCACTCCTGCTACTCTCCATAAGAAAAGGATGCCCCAGGCGGCCACTGCTTCTTCAGCCTGGGTCTCAGAATGAAAAACACACAAAGCAGACTTGAATCTGACCTGAAGCTTACAACCAAACCCCATCAAGTCTAGAGGAAGCCAAAAAGTTTAGGTGAGACACAGCTGAGGCGCAGCTGACCTACAGTCCCAGGACTGAGAAATGATTCATTTTCATAAATCATTAAAATTTGGGGTTGTTACTGCAACAAAATTTGCCTAATATACCACCAGCTAAAAGTGCCTTCAGCACATTGAAGTAAAGAAAGAGAAGAAAAGGAAGATGGATTGGGAAAACAAGGACAAGAAAGCTTTAAGAGATGAAGGGAAATTACCTTTTCAGGAAGTTTTGGTCTGGCAGTGGTCCTAAAGATGGAATAGCAGCATTGCTAATAAAGAAGAAAGTGGGAGAGTAAACAGAGAGTTCTAGAGATGCTTGTGAACCTTGGAGACCCTGAAGGTTAAGATGGGTTCAGGAAAACATGGTTTCTTAACTCAGACTTGCTACTTCTCCCTTAATTCTCAGCATTATATAACACTCTCTCAGTTTTAAGGAGTTTAATTCCCTTCTGAGCATTAAGCTTGGTAAATAAACTTTTATGATTTGCAATGAATTCTACATTGCTATCTCCCCTATTTCTACTTAAAATGCAGCAGGATGTGTGTTTGATATTGATTTGGGTTTGCAATTTAAATTGTTCTTGTGTAGGTATTTGTCAAAGAACTGATGTTTTCTCCATGTGTCATTTGAGATGGGTTAAGTATGCTCAGGAGGGGACAGCTGATATAGAGGTCTCTCCCTGAGCAGTCGGGTTAGTTATAAATTGCTCCGTGGTTTTTCCTAACCTTGTAATGGCTGAAGTAAAACTTAGCAGCTGAATAGTTAGCCCATTTATTTAATTTGATTTTGATTTTCCATTAAGCTCTAGTGATTTATTTAAATAGATTCTGAAATACCAAATTGAAATGTGAAGTATTTGGCATAAAGGAGGATTAAGAACCAAAATATAAATGGAATAAAATCCATTTTGCAAACCTCTAGACCTGTCCAATAAATTGCTTGGGAGACCTGCGTGGAATTACTTCTTCAGTGGCTGTGAGCATCAATATTACATTTGTGTTTCCTAAAACATAGGCTTCAAGTAACAGTTTCTTTTTTGGGGCTGTGCTTCAAAACCTCACAATTAAAGTTCTGAAGCCCACCGGGCTCGGTGGCTCACGCCTGTAATCCCAGCACTTTGGGAGGCTGAGGCGGGTGGATCACCTGAGGTCGGGAGTTTGAGACCAGCCTGACCAACATAGAGAAACTCTGTCTCTACTAAAAATACAAAATTAGTCAGGGGTGGTGGCATATGCCTACAATCCCAGCTACTCAGGAGGCTGAAGCAGGAGAACCGCTTGAATCCAGGAGGCAGAGGCTGCGGCGAGCCAAGATCGTGCCACTGCACTCCAGCCTGGGCAACAAGAGGGAAACTGTCTCAAAAAAAAAAAAAAAGAAAGAAAAGTTCTGAAGCCCATTGAGATGTGAATCCCAAGATCTCCACTAGAAACTTCTGGAATCTGTAATCCTGTGACACCAAATCTACCTTAAGGAGGATTTCCATCTCATCGTTACCCCAGAAGCAAGATGGTTCATTCAGTTAGTTATTCACAAACTTTAATTCGAAACTCATTAAGGTACACATTTAATCATTCTATCAAAGCCCTGATTCCAAGGCTGGTATTTAATGCAGACAATAAGTGAGCAGCATTATTCATGACCAGCTGAAAAGCAAACACAAAGATATCTGCATCCACTGGGCTTTTCCTGATCTGAAACTCCTTTCAAAAATCACTGAATAAAGGAATAGACCTGGATTTCTTTTTATCCATCCTGTGGTTTTCACACATTTGTACATTTCCATGGGCTTCAGTTCTCTCATTGCAAAATGGGGGATTTGGATCTCTTAATCCTTAAGTTACTTTTAGCTCTAAATTTATAACTCAGTATTTCTAGTTCCCTTATTCCTCGCCATCACTGATAAAATAGTCACCAGCAAAGAGAGAATGAGTCATACACTTCAGGCAAGGAAGTGTCTCAAACCAAAAGGACTTAGAATTGGAGTTTACCTGATAAATTGTCTTGAAAATAGCCAAACTCAAAATGGCAAAGCCAGAGCCCACTGCTATGGGATCATGTCTGAGGCAGTGGAGAGGTCTAAAGTCAGCACATTTAATGAAAGCAGTGACTCAAAGTTACCCTTGAAAAATCATGTAGGCAGGCACCCTATTGGAGACCAATCTGTGATCTCTCCAAAACTTGCCACCGGGCCCATTCTTCCAGCCAGCACTGGGACAGATCACTCTTTCTTTGGCTAAGAGCAGTTGGCTGGCATTTCATATGAAAAATGCATATCTCCAAACACTAAAATTGCCCTCAAAGAAGCAACGTGCTTACACTGAGAGGCTGGTGATCTGAAATCAGGTGAGAAAAGTGAAAACCCCTATCTCCCATTCAAACCCACTTGGGACATTATTTTCATATATATACGTATATATATATACGTATATATATACATATATATATACGTATATATATACATATATATATATTTGAAATCATTTTCTCTCTCTCTTTCTCTCTCTCTCTCTTTGGAACTAAAGCTGGCCCATAGTAAGCCTTCAATCACTGATAACAACCAACACTTTTCCTCTGAGCGGAATGGCCCTCTTTTGGTTGACAGATTTACTGTATGTTTCCTTTGTGCCATGCACCTTGCCTGATGTTGGCAGTGTGGTGGTGAAAAGATACAGGTCCTGACTTTCAGAGTCTTATAGGATCAGTAGAGAGAGGAGCAAATACTAACACATAGGAAGTGTATGACAAGATTAAGCTCAAGCGTGCGTTGGAGGTGCCCAAACCAAGCTCAGCCAGGGCCAAGGAAGCTTATGGGAGAAGTGAGGGCTCCCCTGAGACTGGGAGAGTGAGTTTGTGTGGGGAAAAAAAGTAGCCCAGCAAAAGGACCAGAACATGAAAAGGTTCAGAGGTAGACAGTGACTATTTAGAAACTGGGACCAGTTTACTGTGGCCAATGCAGGCAAAATGTGCAAGAGGAGAAAGGGAGAGAGGTGAAGCAGAAGGAAGAGGCCTTTCACACCAAAAGCAGTGAGTTTAGATTTGTCCTGAAGCAAATAGGCAATGGTACAGTCATATTTCCTTCTCCCAAAGCTCTCTAGCTATAGAGGGGAAACAGGATTAGAGATAAAACCAAAGGCTGCCACACAGGTATGCAAGGTGTGCACTGCACAATAGCGCCTGACCCAGATGGTGAGTAAGGTGGGAACAGCGCGTGCTGTGCTTGCCAAGCTGGGTGCTCTGGGGAGGAAGAAGCCTGTAGGGGCCAGCAGCTGTAGATCCTCAGAAAGAGCTGAAGGTTAATTTGCAAAAATCACATGAGAAATGAAAGTGACTGGAACTATGGAGACAGCAAGAAGTGGATGGATTGCATATACTAAAAAGACACAAACAATAGAATGTAGTGGTTGATTGGCTGTGGGCGATGAGAAAGAGGAAGGGGTCAAGTGTTAGACCCACACTCTGGTTTGTGCGACCAAGTGGATGATGATGTGGTATAGGGCTTAAAATTCACAAATGTGCTGCCTTGACATCTGGTTAAATTGAGAGGGCCTTAAATGGCCTGACTGCAAAATCCCCTCATTGTTCTCCTGAGGGTAAGATCCCCAAGCCAAACAGCCTTCCTTTTCAAGGGGAACAGATGCATTTCTGCTTATCTGTGAGTAGTGGGCTTCAGTTCCCTGCCAGTCCATGGAGTTATTCAAACAAGCCAGTCACATCCTCCCGGGGGAACCAGGGACACTCCATCTTCTTGCTGCTACAAAGCCTGCCTTCGTCCATAGCCTCTGGTTGTTCACTCTGCTTGGAGCGCAACCTCCCTGTGGCCCTGTGTGGCACACAGTGTCCTCCTCGTCCATGCTGTGAGTGTATGGAACTAACACACTGCTGCGGGTCTCATCTGCCCAGTGTGCGTGTTTGGCCACCCCTGTAATCCTAGGGCGGGAATCTCTCCTTCAGCAATGGGGTGAAGAAGAGGTGGTTAAAACAAATAAAATTGTCTATCAAAGAACACAAAGGGAGGAGCAGGTGCTGCAGGGGAGAGTGTTAACAATTTCCATTTGGACAGGACGACCCCTTCCCACCTCCTTTGTCTCATTCATCTGGTGAAATCCAAGGGCTCCCAACTCAGAGCCGCTTCCTCAGCAAACCCAGTTCATGAGATTCTCTTTGTTCAAACCCCACGCATGCCACTGTTAGAGAGCTTGGGCCGCAGGCAGATGCAGTAGCTCACGCCTGTAATCCCCGCATTTTGGGAGGCCGAGGTGGGCAAATCACCTGCGGTCAGGAGTTCAAGACCATCCTGACCAACATGGAGAAACCCTGTCTCAACTAAAAATACAAAATTAGACGGGTGTGGTGGTGCATGCCTGTAATCCCAGCTACTTGGGAGGCTGAGGCCGGAGAATCGCTTGAACCCAGGAGGCAGAGGTTGCGGTGAGCCAAGATCGTGCCATTGCACTCCAGCCTGGGCAATAAGAGCAAAACTCCATCTCAAAAAATATATATTTTATATATTTTTATATATACATATATATGTGTATATATATGTGTGTGTGTATATATATATATATAGAGAGAGAGAGAGAGAGAGAGAGAGTGAGAGAGAGAGCTTGGACCACTACATGATGGTAGGGGATGATTTCTCCTCTTCTCAGTGGAAATCCTCCCAGGCAGGAGCTTCAAGGATTTTAGGAACAGGGATGCACAGGAATCATGGGTATTGTGTGCAGAAGATAAGATGAGATGAGTTGCTCGGTCTCATTGTCAGGAAACCAAGACAAGGATATGGGCTCCGAATGAATGAGGAGACACACATGTTCTGTACTGAGCTGAAGGCCAAGCCAAGATGTGCTGTGCTGGCTGTGCTGGCTGAACTGAGAGAGAAATTGATCCAGCAGCACTGCTTCTGTGTGTCAGTGGAAGCAGAGTGGGCTGGGGGAGAGTGCTGGTGGGGAAAGTGAGCTATTTGAATGGAAAATACGCAATCTGGTATCAAATCACCTTCTAGCTACAGAGGCAGCAGGTTCTGAAATCATTTCAGGGGACACATTCCAGGCACTGCAATGGGACAGTGTGTGGATTTTTTATTTTTTTAACTACTTGCCTGGGATGGAGGTTTTATTTATTTATATATTTACTCTGATATCCAGAAATCTGAAAGAATTGCTGCTGGTGCATAAGTAATAATATAAATAATAATAGCATAAGCATGTATGTCAGGTACCTGACACCAATCGAAGTGATTTTCATGTATTTGCTCATTTTTCCTTACCACATCTCCCTGGGAAGGAAAGTCTATTAAATTCTTCATGTCATCAATACAAAAACTCATGCACAGAGACATCAAGTGACATGACCAAGGTCACACAGCATCCTGGTCCTAGAACCCACACATTTAAACACTCTGCTGTCATCTTCAGAGCTTGGAGCCATGTTCTATTTATCTCAGCATCTCTAGTGTCTGTGTCAGAGGAAGTGTTCAGTATCCTTTTATCGAATGAATGAACGAATGAGTGGAACCTCATTTGCTAAGGCATCCACACCCTCTGGGTGGCCTTTAGTCAGCATTACACACAGTTGTAATTTAAGACGGTAGTGACAAGATCTTGACCCTAAAACTTCATGGTGCATCACCTGCACCTCTGCCATTATGTCTAGGGATTTTTGGTTTTGTTTTTATTTGTCCTGGAGGCTTTTTCTTCTTTAGGAACCACCTGTTAAAATGAGGGGAGGGTTTACAGTGTGGCTGAAAGCTGAGGACTGATTCATTCACCCCATCGACCCCACCTTGGCCTAGAGTATTATAAGGCAAATGACACCCCTTGAGGTAAGCATGAATGCAGCAGCTAGGGCCCTCCAGACAGCTCCCTTAAGGACTGCAGCAATGCAGGAAAGGTGAACGTGAGGGAGAAGCAAAGTCTCAGGCTCTTGTTCGCCTCCTCCCAGGGAAGTGTCCATCCAGTATCCACTCTGAAGATCTGGTAATTGTGTCTTTTACTTACAGAAAAAAAAAAAAATATATATATATATAGCATTTCTTAGGATTGGGGGCCCAGACAGGAGAAACGTCAGCTCCAAACTTTTCCCAGAGGTGTCAGTCAGTCAATGTCCATGGCAGAATGGATGCCTCAAGGCCCATGTTCCATTCACCTGCAGCTTCTGTTTGACATCTCTACTCACCGGGGCTGCCCACTCCTTACTCTAACCCGAGTTCACACATGTGCACTGGAATTATTGTCAGTTGCATTGCAAAAAGGATTCACCAAACCCCTCTCTTTCCCACCCAGCCTCGTGATGTGGGATGACACTTTTCAGCTCAGGTTTCCCCCATGTTTCTCTCTTTCACACTCCATTTATTCAAGGCTCCTTAGTGGACAGCATTCCTGCTGCCACTGTCAAAGGACTCATAGTCCCTTGAATGTCCTTGCCGCACTGCCAATGCCTCTCTTAGTGATTTCCCAAGGTGGTTGGAAGATCCCTTTTCAAAGTTCTTGCTAACGACTTAGTAATGATTTTTTTGGCCTTCACAGGATTATAGAACATTCTAATAGCTGTCTACTGTCAGTTCTTAATTTCATTTCCTTTTAGTCTTCGGTCTGATAATCAACAACTGTAATTACCATGTTAACAATATTTGACATTTTTAAAAGCCATTATGTTACTTTAATTAATCCTCACAACAACCTTATGAAGTAGTATTTTTCTCATTTTACCACTGAGAAACAAGGCTTAGAGAAGTTAAATGACTTACCTAAGGTCACATAGCAAGTAGGTTGCAGAATTGGGACTCAGCTGAGACTGTGTCCTCTGTTGGGGCTCAGAAAACAATACTCTATAATGTGGCACTTTGACATACTGAACTAAAGAAGCAGCCTCAGGGTCTCTCTCTGACATATCGCCAACTTCCTGCCTCTCTGATCCTCTTTCCTGAAGCACTCTGTCTAGAATTTTATTTTATTTATCTATTTATATTGTATTTTGAGACAGGATCTCACTCTGTTGCCCAGGTTGGAGTGCAGTAGTGCAATCATGGCTCACTGCAGCCTCAATGTCCTGGACTCAAGTGATCCTCCTACCTCAGCCTCCCGGGTAGCTGGGACTACAAGTAAGCACCAACATGCCGGGCTAAATTTTTTGTTGTTGTTGTTGTAGAAACGAGGTCTCCCTACGTTGCCCAGGCTGGTCTTGAACTCCTGGGCTCAACAGATTCTCCTGCCTTGGGCTCCCAAAGTGCTGGGATTACAGGCATGAGCCACACCACCCAGCCTAGAATTTTCTTATCTGACTAAAAAAACTTTCCAAAAGAAATGCAATTGCCTTAAGAACCCCTACCTAGGAATCTCATCAAATAACCAGGAATGATTAATCACCAGGAAGAGAAAGGACTGGGGGTCAGCACCACACCCAGACATCCTTTCATCTATTTTTCCGAGGGAAGCGCCTACATTATCTGGAGGATGTTATCTGCATAATAACACAACCTTTGTTCCTGTGCAGTTTTTCCTCTCACCTTCTGAAATTGTCACTCCTATCCAGCTTCCAAAAATAATCATTTGCAAAATAATGTCTGCCTCCAGGGTTTATACAGAGTATTCAAGCCTCATCCATCTGGTCCCTCTTCATGTCTCATACCTTGGTATGGCTCCCATATCCGTATGCACGATAACACGTTTTGAATGCTTTTTTCTCTTATGAACCTGCCTATTGTAAGTTCATTTGCGCAAACCTTTAGAGGGCAGAGGAGAAGCTTTCCCTTGGCCCTTACACTTCCAAGGCCTGATGTCCCCTTTTCCAACAGCAACCTCCAGGGCAAAAAGTAGAAATGAGGCCAGGCGCGGTGGCTTATGCCTATAATCCCAGCATTTTGGGAGGCCAAGGCGGGCGGCTCACCTGAGGCCAGGAGTTCAAGACAAGCCTGACCAACATGGTGAAACTCTGTCTCTATTAAAAATACAAAATTAGGCCGGGCGCAGTGGTTCATGCCTGTAATCCCAGCACTTTGGGAGGCCGAGGCAGGTGGATTACGAGGTCAAGAGATCGAGACCATCCTGGCCAACACGGTGAAACCCTGTCTCTACTAAAAATACAAAAATTAGCTGGGCATGGTGGCATGTGTCTGTAGTCCCAGCTACTCAGGAGGCTGAGGCAGAAGAATTGCTTGAACTTGGGAGGCAGAGGTTGCAGTGAGCTGAGATTGTGCCAATGCACTCCAGCCTGGTGACAGAGCGAGACTCTGTCTCAAAAAAAAAAAAAAAAAATACAAAATTAGCTGGGCATGGTGATGTGTGCCTGCCTGTAATCTCAGCTACTCCGGAGGCTGAGGCAGGAGAATCGCTTGAACCTTGGAGGCGGAGGTTGCGGTGAGCTGAGATGGTGCCATTGCACTCCAGCCTGGGCAACAACAGCAAAACTCCATCTCAAAAAAAATAAAATAAAATAAAAGCAGAAATATTGGCCAGATTCTGTTTTTTTTTTGTTTTTTGATTAAATGGACTATTTCAAATACACAAAATAGAAAGAATAGAACAGCATTGTGTTAGAACCAGCTCTTACCACCAGCTCCTGAGACCTAAGTGTTAAATATTCAGGAATGTTGCAAGATGCCTGTTAAGTCATGGCTAGCTTGAAATTAGCCATGGTGGGAACCCACAGAAGTTGGCAAACGGTTCAAAAGTGAACTCGCCACTCCCCAGCCTTTTTCCCAGTCCATCACTGCCTGTTCCGGTCACCCAGCTTCAAGAATCATTATCAATTGGCCAATGTTAATTTATTGCTCTTGTCCCTGATGGCTTATTTTGCTGCAAATCCCAGACATCTTATCATTTTATCCATATGTACTTCAATACTTATCTCTAAATGATGAGGACTCTTTTTCTAACATATCTAAAATGGCATTACCATGCCTAAACAACTCTGCACTTTCTTAATATCATCAAATACCCAATAGAATATATTAATACAATTATTTGTTCAGCTCAGGATCCAAACTAGGGTCACACAGCACTTTTTGTTAATATGTCTTGAGTCTCTTTTAATTCCATAGGTTTCTATTTTAGTTCACTGGGGTTGTAACCGCCCAAGCGGGTTGCCTGCTGCCTAGACAGGGCTGATTCATCAAGACAGGGGAATTACCATAGACAAAGAGTAATTCACGCAGAGCCAGCTGGGCGGGAGACCAGAGTTTTATAAATACTCAAATCAGTGTGGAGCAGAGTTTTTAAGGATAACTTGGTGGATGACAGGGGAGCCAGTGAGCCAAGTGTGCTGATTGGTCAGGGATGGAACCATAGGGACTCAAAGCTGTCCTCTTGCACTGAGTCCGTTCCTGGGTGGGGGCCACAAGATCAGGTGAGCCAGTTTATCCATCTGGGCGGTGCCAGCTGTGCCAGCTGATCCATCAAGTGCAGGGTCTGCCAAATATCTCAAGCACTGATTTTAGGAGCAGTTTAGGGACTGTCAGGATCTTGTAGCCTCCAGCTGCGTGACTCCTAAACCATAATTTCTAATCTTGTGGCTAATGTTAGTCCTACAAAGGCAATCTAGTCCCCAGGCAAGAAGGAGGACTGCTTTGGCAAAGAGCTGTTAAAGTCTTTGTTTAAACTATAAACTAAGTTTCTCTCAAAGTTAATTCAGCCTACACCCAGGAATGAACAAGGACAGCTTGGAGGTTAGAAGCAAGATGGAGTTGGTTAAGTTAGAGCTCTTTCACTGTCTCAGTCATAATTTTGCAAAGGCGGTTTCAGGGTTGCTGTAACAAAGTAGCACAAATCTGGCAGGGCGCGGCAGCTCACACCTGTAATCCCAGCACTTTGGGAGGCCAAGGTGGGCAGATCACCTGAGGCCAGGAGTTCGAGACCAACCTGACCCACATACGAAACCCTGTCTCTACTAAAATACAAAAAAATGAGCCGGGTGTGGTGGCGTGCACCTGTAATCCCAGCTACTCGGGAGGCTGAGGCACAAGAATCACTTGAACCCAGGAGGTGGAGGTTGCAGTGAGCCGAGATCACCCCACTGATCCAGCCTGGGTGACAGAGTGAGACCCTGTCTCAAGAACAAAAGAAAAAAAAAAAAGTACCATAAACCAGGTGGTTTAAATGGCAGCAATGGATTATCTCACAGTTCTGGAGGCCGGAAGTCTGTAACAAGGGGCTGGTGGAGTTGGCTCCTTCTCAGGGCTGGGAGGGACACTCCGTTCCATGCTGGCAATCTTTGGTGTTCCTTGGCTTACAGATGCATCACCCCTAGCTATACCATAATCTCCACATGGCATTCTCCTCATCTGTAACTGACTCCAAACTTTTCTTATAGGGACCCCAGTCATATTGGGTTAGGGCCCACCCTAGTGACCTCATTTCAACTTTATTACCTCTGCAAAGACCCTATCTCCAAATAATGTCACATTCTGAATTAAGGGAGGTTAGGACTTCAATATACAGACTTTGGGAAGACTCAATTAAACCCATAATAGTTTCCTTCTTTCTCTTTTTATCTACTTGCAATGTAGTTGTTGAAGAATCCAGGACATTGTCCAGTTTCTTCTGGATTTTGCTGATTTCTTCCATATGATCCCATTTGTAACATGCTTCTCTGTCCTCTTGTGTTTCCCGTAAACTGGGTGGTAGACCTAATCCCATGGCCAGATTCAGGTTTGGCCATTTCAGCAAGAATACACCAGAAGGACTTTAATGAGAATGTCATGTGGAGATTATGGTATAGCTAGGGGTGATGCATCTGTAAGCCAAGGAACACCAAAGCTAGCCAGCATGGGAAGGAGTGTCTCCTTTTTTGTGATGTTATGACTGGTCACAGGCTCAAGAACTGTCGCCCTCATCCAGCTGTTACTGGAAAAGGGTCCAGATCCAGACCCCAAGACAGGTTTCTTGAATCTTGCACAAGAAAGAATTCGGGGTGAGTCCATAGAGTAAGGTGAAAGCAAGTTTATTAAGAAAGTAAAGAAACAAAAGAATGGCTACTCCATAGGCAGAGCAGCAGCATGGGCTGCTTGACTGAGTAAACTTATGGCTTTTTTTCTTGATTATATGCTAAACAAGAGGTGGATTATTCATCAGTTTTCTGGGAAAGGGGTGGGGAGTTCCTGGAGCTGAGGGTTGCTCCCCCTTTTAGACCATATAGGGAAGCTTCCAGACCATGCCATGGCAATTTGCAAAGTGTCATGGCACTGGTGGGACTGTCTTTTAGCATGCTAATGCATTATAATTAGTGTATAATGAGCAGTGAGGACGACCAGAGGTCACTTTCATCGCCATTTTAGTTTTGGCAGGTTTGGACCAGCTTCTTTACCACATCCTGTTTTTATCAGCAGGGTCTTTATGACCCATATCTTGTAACCTCCTATCTCATCTTATGACTAAGAATGCCTAACCTGGGAATGCAGCCCAGCAGGTGTGAGCCTCATTTTACCCAGCCCTATTCAAGATGGAGTCTCTCCGGTTCCAATGCCTCTGACACAACCATATAAAGCTTTCCATCAGCTTTTCATATAATGGCATCAATAGCCATTGCTGATCAGTGCCTGATTCCATTATTTCATTAGAGGTTGAAAAATGCGATTTAAAATTCTTAGTTCTCTGGCATTTATTATCTGAAATTCTTGCATAAAGAACTTTCTTGTAACAACTGCTTGCTAACCCTGAAGTACAATTCACACAGGCAAGACAGGATAAATCATTCACTCATTTTCTTCATTGGCTTTTAAAATAATGACTTGGTTTCTGAGCATCTTCCAAAAGGGAACAATGAGGACGATTTTTGAGTATTATAATTAACTTGTGGATTTTAACATACATGATTCCTTGAAGTTATTCTATTTGCTGTAGTTATTATTCTTTTTGAAGCTCAAAATGTTCCATCTTTGCCCAGTGAGAGTCCCTTCAAGTTGGTTCCAGAATTCTCTCTTTTTTTGAGTTGAAGTCTCACTCTATCACCCACGCTGCAGTGCAGTGGTGCAATCTCGGCTCACTGCAACCTCTGCCTCCCAGGTTCAAGCAATCCTCCTGCCTCAGCCTCCCAAGTAGCTGGGATTACAGACACATACCACCACACCCAGCTAATTTTTGTATTTTTAGTAGAGACAGGGTTTCACCATGTTGGCCAGGCTGGTCTTGAACTCCTGACCTCAGGTGCTCCACCTGCCTCAGCCTCCCAATCCAGAATTCTTATGATGCAACTCCAAAGGCTTTGATAATCTCCTTGCTTTCTAGTAAATCAATGTGCTCTGGGTTCACCTTGTTCACTTCTTGTCCCAAACCTAGAATCAGCTATTTGTCCAAAGAATGTTGGTTTCTTTTATTGGAGATTGGCATTTAGAGTCAAATATCTGAGTGCTAAGAATGCTCATTGCCAGATTATTTAGTGAACAGTGGTTAGAAATACTTTTTTTAAATTTTATTTTATTTTAGAGATGGGATCTTGCTTGTTGGCCAGGTTGGTCTTGAACTGGCCTCAAGCAATCCTCCTGCCTCAGCCTCCCAAAGTACTAGGATTACAAGCATGAGCTTGTAGGAGAAATACTTTTATAAGAGAAGATATATCATGAGTTCATATCAATATTGTCAACTTAAATTTAGAGTTATAGGGTTTGTATGTAAATTGTTTAATTTTATGCTTGCAACCTTTTTAAACTGAAAATCTTGGTTCCTAATAACTTTAACATAATTATGATGCATATATATTTGCACATATATATAAACAGACATATGTTTCAAATGAACAATACCAATATTATTACCAAATAAAGATATAATTAATAAGTAGTATTATTGAACACAATTTAAAATTTATTTATAGTTGTTTGGTCCATTAAGGTATAATCCACTGGGGATGTATTTATATTACAGTACTTGAAAGCCATATGAAATAGTTCCTTTATATGTGGTTGACCCATTTGCTCAACAAAAGTGATTAGAAGTTAAGAAATTAACAAGGTTAATTTTTTTCCACTTTGCTTTCGATTTTGAAGGATTGTTTTCTATTTTTATTCACTTGTATTTTGTAATTATATAAAACATTTACATAAGTCCAAAGTCAAATCAACAAAATGTGAACTCAGAAGTCTGGCTTCCATTCTCACCTCTCTGACCTGTCCCTTCTTCCTGATAAGTAACTGTTTTTTATTAGTTTTTGCTTTATCCTATCATATAAAAAAATTAAGCAAATAGGACTCTGTGTGTTTTCCCTCTTTCTTATATATAGCTTGGCATTTTATTGTTTCTGAAACCTTGCTTTTTTCACTTATATCCTGGAGATCTAGAGAGAGTTGAAATCTGAGTTCTTTCAGTAACAACCTTCATCATCAAACACAAAAACATTTTCCTATCACAACGACTGCAAGGGTAACAGAAAGACGGAATGCCCCAATCAGTGTCAGAAGTTCTTCCTAAGTGAAAATGAAACCATCAGCTTGAACGTCTTTAGGCAGCTTGTTAAAGCTGTCTGGGCCTCCCAAATAATCCTGTGAATAACTCTGTATTCTAAGAGAACATTAATCACAATGCTTGGGATTAGCTGCATGGCATTTGTAAAAGACAGAGCAGGGTTTATGGGAGGGACATGTGTGGGAGGAAGGGCCGGGTTCATTCCTGGTATCCCGGCTCCCTGGCAGTGTAGCCTTGAACGAGGGATGAGTTAATTCCTCACTCAAAGTGTTACCATGAGAACGAAGTGAAATGAGGTCTGTTCAGTGCCAGGTACAGGGTCTGGCAGATAATGGAACTCAAAATGTGGTGGTTATAATTGTGATTTTCAGTAAGTTCTTTCACATACAAATCCCATTATAATTCTCAGGACAATCTTTTGAGGTAACTATCATAGCTGGCACAGTTTAGTTTTCGGTGAAGTTTATGACACAGTGGGGCTTTGTTCTGGTGTGCTGCCTCTTCGTTTAATGTAGGTTTAGGTATCTCTTGTATAATCTGAATACACCACACATTAGGCCCCGGTTCTGGACTTGAACTGTGGTTTTATTATATGAAATAAAAAGATTTTAACCACAGAATAGTTATTCTTCTGACAGACTGCTACTTGTATCTCTGATTAATTTATGTCATGCTTGGTTCTTAATCAAGAGTCAACCAATAATTAGAGCAGGGTCCCTGCAGGAAACTATGATCCCATTTATGACAATCCATTATGTGATTTAAATTGCAAGAAGGAACCATGGGGAAAAGGGGAGTATAAACCTCATTTATAAATTAGACCTTGACTTTTAGTTGAGCTATTCCCTTTAACTGGATCATTCCCATGATCAAAAGACATTTTCCTTAGAAGTAAATATTATCCCTGTGACCTTTTATACAAAAAGACATGAAATTATTGAATGATACTTTTGAGCAGACACATTTTGAGACATTAAATCTCTCTCTCTCTGTGTGTGTGTGTGTGTGTGTGTGTGTGTGTGTGTGTGTGTTTTCTAGTACATTTCCTCTAGCCTAGTGGTTATCAAACTCACCTGTACATTAGAATCCCAGGAGAGACAGATTGTGAGAGGTACAAAAACCCTCAGATATGGCTTGACTCTGTTTCCACACAAATCTCATGTTGAATTGTAATCCCCAGTGTTGGGGGGAGAGCTGGTGGGAAGTGATCGGTTCATGGAGGTGGATTTCCCCTTGCTGTTTTCATGATAGTGAGTGAGTTCTCATGAGACCTGATGGTTTAAAAGTACGTAGTGGCTGGGTGTGGTGGCTCACATCTGTAAGCCAAGCACTTTGGGAGGCCAAGATGGGTAGATCACCTGAGCTTGGGAGTTTGAGAGTAGCCAGGGCAACATGACGAAACCCCGTCTCTACTAAAAATACAAAAATTAGCAGGCCATGGTAGCATGTGCCTGTAGTCCTAGCTACTCAGGAGGCTGAGGCACAAGAATCACTTGAACCCTGGAGACAGAGGTTGCAGTGAGCTGAGATCATGCCACTGCTCTCCAGCCTGGGCAACTGAGCAAGACTCTTGTCTCCAAAATAAAAAAAGTGTGTGGCACTTCCCCCTTAGCTCTCTCTCCTGCTCCATCATGGTAACACATACTTGCTTCCCCTTTGCCTTCTACCATGATTGTCAGTTTCCTGAGGCCTCCCAGCCATACTTCCAGTACCGCCTGTGGAACTGTGAGTCAATTAAACCTCTTTTCTTCATAAATTACCCAGTCTCAGGTAGTTCTTTATAGCAGTGTGAGAACCGACTAATACACCCTTTCTTGGGGTCTGGATTGGGACCCCTTTCCGGTAACAAAGTAACAATTTAATTAAAAAATTAACACATTCAAACATGCAAAATATACTTCTTTATAATAAAAAATAAAATTATTTATCTCAAATATGAATAGCAAAGTGTTAGTATCTATATACTAAGAAGTCCTTCTAAAGTAGTGGGAAAACATGAATTACCCAGTAGATAAACTGGGAAAGATACAGGCAATAATCTCCCCAAATCCCCCAATTTTCCTATTTGTGAAAATACAAATAGGAAACAGATATATGGGGAAATGTCCAATCTCATCAGTAAGCTGATGTAAATTTTTAAAATAATCATCATATATCTTCTAAATTAACAAAGGGTTTTTAAAGACAGGACCTTATGCTGGTGAATTTATGATAAAATTAGAACACCCTTCAATGCTGTTGATATTGTCAATTTATACAACTCTTTGGCAAAGCAAACTGATAATATATATTCATTTAAACAAGGTGTTCATATTCTGTGCTCCAATTATGCAATTCTTGAGAATTTATCCCAAAAATGCCTCCTTAATTCAAGTGAAGGAAAAAGCTCTATGAAGGAAAAACATCAAAATAGCAAAAAATTGGAAAAGAAATGCATATGCAAAAATGGAAGCATAATTAATAAATTATGGTATATTATCTCCCTGTATACAGCCACTTGGTAATTACAAAGGCTATAGGCCATCATGAGAAAATGTACATATTATATTGAAACAATATAAATTATATAAAAAGGTATATTCTGTTTATATTTGCATTTAAATATTGATGTATAAACAAAAACTAAAAGAGAGTTTACCAAAATAAAATGTTTATGCTTTTATATTCTCTGAGCTAGTCTTCATTTATTCAGTACAAATTATTTTATTTTATTTATTTATTTACAGTGGAGTCTTGCTCTGTTACCCAGGCTGGAGTGCAGTGGCATGATCTTGGCTCACTGAAACCTCTGCCTCCTGGGTTCAAACGACTCTCCTACCTCAGCCTCTCAGGTAGCTGGGATTACAGGCATGCACCACCAAGCCCAGCTAGTTTTTGATTTTTAGTAGAGATGGGGTTTCACCATGTTGGCCTGGCTGGTCTTGAACTCCTGACCTCAGGTGATCCACCCACTTTGGCCTCCCAAAGTGCTGGGACTACAGGTGTGAGCCACCATGCCCGGCCAGTACAAATTGTTTTAGTGTCTATCCTCTCAAAAGATAAAGACCCTTAAAAACCAAGAGGCATGTTGGTCAGGCTGCACTCTGGCTTCGGGTGGAGAATTTGTTGGTTTGTGTGTTAAGATGAGTCAGATGCTGGGGAGAGTGGAGCACATGCCCAGTGTATTCACCGAATGTGGCTCATGGGCTTTTAAAAATCCCCTTGGCTTTTCTTGCTAACAGCCTGAAATTACGGGAATCAGCGGGTATGTCTGCATCATATTGAGAATTTCCCTTTTCACAAAAAAGCACTAGGACCACTTTTTTTTTTTTTTTTTTTTTTGAGACGGAGTCTCACTTTGTCACCCAGGCTGGAGTGCAATGGCGCAATTTCAGCTCACTACAACCACCACCTCCCGGGTTCAAGTGATTCTCCTGCCTCAGCCTCCCAAGTAGCTGGGATTACAGGCATGTGCCACCATGCCCGGCTAACTTTTGTGGTTTTAGTAGAGATGGGGTTTCACCATGTTGGCCAGGCTAGTCTCGTACTGCTGACCTCAGGTGATTTGCCCGCCTCGTCGGCCTCCCAAAGTGCTGAGATGACAGGCCACAACTTGTTTTTTGTTTTTGTTTTTGTTTTTTCTGAGACAGAGTCTTGCTCTGTCGCCCAGGCTGGAGTGCAGTAAGTGACATCACAGCTCACTGCAGCCAACTCCCCAGGCTCAGGTGATCCACCCACCTCAGCCTCCCGAGTAGCTGGGACTACAGGCTTGGGCCACTAGACCTGGCTAAATTTTTGTATTTTTTTGTACAGATGGGGTTTTACCATGTTGCCCAGGCTGGCTTTGAACTCCTGAGCTCAAGCAAACTGCCCACCTTGGCCTCCCAAGGTGCTGCGATTGCAGGTATGAGCCACCACGCCGAGCAACAACTAACTTTTTTATAACTCCAAATGCATTCCATAACTGCCCTTCTCTGGCTTCTTCTGTCCCCCATCTGCTTCCCTTGTGATAAGTCTTCACTTCCTTCCTGCTCCCACCTCATTAAAGCAGGCCTGGCTTTTGGAAAGGTGATGGAGGCGGACAGTTTTCTGAATGTGCCTGCAGCCAGGAGCCCACCTTCCTCCCCAGCATAGTCATCATCCTCCCTCCCCACCCCCAGCACATAAGCATGCCTGTTGCAGAAGTGCCACATTGTGGACATCTGACCACAGTGAACATCAGGTGTACATGCACTAGAGGCCTTCCGTGAGCCTAAGCTCTCATATGTTGAAAAGGTACCAATGACACTATTAACTTGGAGGCAGGAGAAGCATCTAAATGAAGTGATATGGGGCATTTTTCTTTTTTATTAGAAAGTTTAATTAGAACATCTCCCTGAGTGTTTTAATTTCAGGATGGACTCAAAGAAATGGCTTTAAAATAGTCCCTCTAGAATTGGTCAATGGTTTTCCTTAACAAGGTTGAAAAGATATTTTGAGACATCTTTTACTAGTTTAGATACTGAAAATGTTCAAGAAAAAATGCTTCTAGTTTGGAAAGATGTTTCTATTGAGATTTGACACCCTCCCAACTATTTCTACCTCTCCCCTTTTGAATTTTAACTTTTACTCTACTTATGAAAGGATTCATTTGGCCTTGAACACTAGAAATTAACTGTTTCCCTAAGGAACACAAATCTGTGGATTTCCTAATATATCCAGGAAGATAACAACAACAAAAAAAAGCAGAGCTCGCTATTGGAGTCAGAGGTCTCTGGCCAGGAGGCTGACGCAACCTGCTAACATTCTTTTTCACCCTTTCACCCAAGGCCATGCAGTGAGAAAAGGACACTGGATTTAGGATAGACCTTACAATTGATCCATGTCCTCCATTCCAGAAATGGCTGGGGGAAGATGAATATTGCGGCCAGGGGCGGCTTGTGTGACAATTCCTGCCCACACAATCACAGTTGTCTCTCTCAGCACCCTGTCAGGGCTATTTAATACAGTCCATTGCAGCATGCTCCAAAACTCCTTGTATCCCGCTGACTACAAACCAATAAGTTTGCTGAATTCTCTAAGGCAGAGGTTCATAAACTAAGGCCCACGGACAGAATATCAGTTTTTAGTCAGGGTTCTCTAGAGGTACAGAACTCATATATATATATATATATATATATATATATATATATACACACACACACACACACACACACACATATATATGTATATATATGTGTATATATATATATACGTATATATGTGTATATATATATATATATATATGAGTTTATTAAGTGTTAACTCACACAATCACAAGGTCCCACAATAGGCCGAGTTCCAAAACTGAAGAACTTGGAGTCCGATGTTCGAGGGCAGGAAGCAACCAGCAAGGGAGAAAGATGTAGGCTGGGAGGCTAGGCCAGCCTCTCTTTTCACGTTTTTCTGCCTGCTTATATTCTAATTGAGCTGGCAGCTGATTAGATTGTGCCGCCACAGATTACGGGTGGGTCTACCTTTCCCAGCCCACTGACTCAAATGTTAGCAACGCCCTCACAGACACACCCAGGATACTTTGTATCTTTGTATCTTTGAGGAAAAGAGGGAGAGTCTGTTTTGTGATCTTTCTTGTGCTTGGACCTCACTGGAGAAGTCTACGGGAGATACTCTGTATCCTTCAATCCAATCACGTTGACACTGAGTATTAACTGTCACAATCAGGGTCTGCGAATATGGGTGAGAGAAAATTACATACTTATTTTTACTAACTTCCTACTGAAATTTAGCATTTCCTCAATTATGTACATAAGCAACAAATCACAATAGCATACCAAGTTCCTGAGACTTTGTCACTACAGGAAATTGTCAATATTTTCATGTTCTCTTTCCTTGTGGCAGATACCTCAAAATACCAGCTATGCTCATCACCCCTTCACAAGTATGGTGGTTATTAGGTCTGAAAGTTTGTGTCCCCCCTTTCCAAAGTCATATGTTGAAGTACTAACGCCCAATGTGAAGGTATTTAGGAGGTGGGAACTTTGGGAGGTGATTAGGTTTAGATGGCATCAGGAGGTTGGAGTCCCTATGATGGAATTGGTGCTCTTATAAGAAGAGGAGGAGATACCAGACCTCTCTCTCCCCGTCCTCTCTCTCTCCCCACTCCTCTCTCTCTCTCTCCCTGCCATGTGGAGATCCAGGGAGAAGGTGGCACTGTGAAGCCAGACAGAGGGCCCTCACCAAAACCCAAATCTGCCAGTGTTACCAGGGGTCTTTGTTCTTAGAGCTCCCAAGATGCGGGGGGGCCGCTCCCAAGATGGCAGCAAGCCTCTTATTCTCTGACCTGGGGTTCTTGGCCTCACGGATTCCAAGGAATGGAAGCTTGGGCCATGCGGTGAGTGTTATAGCCCTATTAGAAGCTGTGGGTCACGGAAGAGAACCGTGGAACCCAGCGACTAGTGTTCAGCTCCATTAGGAGGAACCCGGGCACTTAGCCGTGCAGGAACAATGGCAAACTTTTAGCCCAATCAGGAGTGGCAACAGGCGCCTCCTTGGATCAGGAGCACAGCGGACACCCTGCCAGATCCGGAGGGATGGAAGTCAGCGGCGGGTCTGCGGCAGTGGCCAACAGCAGTGGTGGACAGTGAGCGAAAGCTCAGCTCGAGCCGTAACAAACACGGTCCAGAAGAGTGCAGTTGCAAGATTTAATAGAGTGAAAACAGAGCTCCCATACAAAGGGAGGGGACCCAAAGCGGGTTGCCGTTGCCAGCTCCAATGCCTGGGTTTATATCTTGATCACTGTCCCCCCACCTCCGTGCTCAGGCGATAGATGATTGGCTATTTCTTTACCTCCTGTTTTTGTCTAACTAGCATTTTAGTGAGCTCTCTTTACTACCTGATTGGTCAGGTGTGAGCTAAGTTGCAAGCCCTGTGTTTAAAGGTGGATGCGGTCACCTTCCCAGCTAGGCTTAGGGATTCTTAGTCAGCCTAGGAAATCCAGCTAGTCCTGTCTCTCACCAGCATCGTAATCTTGGACTTCTAGCCTCTAGATCTATAAGAAATCATTGTCTGTTGCTTAAGCCGCCCAGTCTGTGGGCAGCTTGTTTGTTATAGTAGCCAAGATGACTAAGACACATAATATCACATATTTTTAAAGAATGTGGTTACTTCGCTTGCCCATAATTGGTTTCCTTTACAATCCCATGTATTTCCTTTTATGCATTTGAAACCATTATTTTAAGAATAGGTCTATAGACTTCTCCAGTGACGTCCAAGCACAAGAAAGATCACAAAACAGACTCTCCTTCCTTTCCTCCATCTGGGCCACATCTTCACTTAACAAGAACAGCTTCCTTACACCTCCCAGATTGAGGAATGGTGGGTGAGAACACGGTATAATAAAGCTTGTTTTATGGTCTCTGCCCTTGTAGATCAGGGTCTCCACTCACAGACTTTGCCCTCTAACCTCAGCCACTATCTGACAAGCATCTGCTGGTTGGCGGAGAGGATGTGCACAGATGGGTGTATACCCAACGCTGCTCCCAGGAATGAATCCCAAAGCCACCAGATCTTACCAAGGGTGACCTTCACACAGAACAGCACATGGACACACCCCCCCCCAGGACTGTGGGTGGAGCAGTTGGAAGGCCACCACTAATTGTGGAGTTATGTTAAGGCTTACGCTGATTCTGTGTTATGATTTCATTTTGGAATAAAAAACCAGAGCCCTGTATTCCATCTTGCCAGAACTGCTTGCTAGTGATTTGAACTCAAGAAATCTGGTACAGGCAGGGTGTGGTGGCTCACGCCTGTAATCCCAGCACTTTGGGAGGCCAAGGCAAGTGGATCACCTGAGGTCAGGAGTTCAAGACCAGCCTGGCCAACACGGCGAAACCCTGTCTCTACTAAAAATACAAACGATTAGCCTGGCATGGTGGCGGGCGCCTGTCATCCCAGCTACTTGGGAGGCTGAGGCAGGAGAATCGCTTGAACCTGGGAAGCAGAGGTTGCAGTGAGCTGAGATCACACCACTGCATTCCAGCCTGGGAGACAGAGCAAGACTCTGTCTCAAAAAAAGAAAAAAAAAAAGAAATCCGTTACAGCTTTGAGCTTCAGTTTCCTCATCTTTCAAATGATGGCTACAACTGCAAAGGTTTATTTTTCAAAACATGTTCTCTCCCTGTCTCTCTCTCTCAAATTCCTTCTTCCTTATTTTGACAGCTACTACATTTGAGCTTTTTAATTTGAATATTATTGGATGGTAACCCACTTACAGAGATAGGAAGTTGGACGTCTTGAAGAAAGGAATTTCATCTTAAAGTCCATTATATTTTTAATCTAAACTGCTTGGACTAAAACAGCTTGCTTTAGGACAGGGCTGGGCGTGACTTTTTATTTTGCTTTGTTCTCAGTTTTGCTTTATCTAGAATCTGTGTTTCAATATATCAGCTCTAGGTGGCAGTAATGTACCATGAAGATGTGTGCTTTACCAGGTAGCAGGCTGCCAAGTTTCAAGTCTTGAGGCTTGAGGTGGAAGAGAACCTTAAGGAAAATTTTAATGGGATTACTGGGTGCCAGCGCTATCTAGACACTCTGTGAGCAGGTCAACTCACGACTGTTGTCCCCTGTGACTACCTTGGAGGAAGGAAGGAAAGCTACAGGCTCATGAATACATTACATGAAGGATGCAATGAAATATTTTATGGTATAGGGATTTTTCCAAACCTGTGCTCTACATATACTCTGTCTCTGTCTCTCTCTGTCTCTCTCTCTCTCTCTCTCTCACACACACACACACACACACACACACACACACACACACATTGAGATAAGAGAAGCTACTTCTTCAAAACAAGGTTTGTTTATATAATCAACTCATGACCCCTCTCCTCTTCTTTTTTCCTTTCCTAACTCTAAAAAAAAAATAATTTTACTATCCATTTGTCTCTAAGGTGAATGAGCTAAGACACAGTAGTAATGTATAGTACTACAGTAGTCACATATAGTAAGCATATGTGTATATACTGAAGAACGTGAGCCTGAGGGGAGAGCACATTTGAGGGACAGTGTATTGTTCATTATTCATTCCTTTGGATTTCTTTTTTGTTTTGTTTCCGTTTGTTTTGTTTTTTTTCTTTTTTGAGGCTGAGTCTCACTGTATTGCCCAGGCTGGAGTGCAGTGGTGCAATCTTGGCTCACTGCAACCTCCACCTCCCAGGTTCAAGCTATTCTCCTGCCTCAGCCTCCCGAGTAGCTGGGATTACAGGCACGCACCACCATGCCTGGCTAACTTTTGTATTTTTAGTAGAGAAGGGGTTTTACCATTTTGGCCAGGCTGGTCTCGAACTCCCGACCTCAAGTGATCCACCCGCCAAGACCTGCCAAAGTGCTGGGATTACTGGTGTGAGCCACCGCACCCGGCCTTGTCTGGATTTCTTTACAAGAGTTTACGTAGCCATTTCCTCATCTGTAAAATGAGACTAATAGTTCCACCTTCGTATGGTTGTGATGAGGATTAAAGTGGTCCACAGATATACAGGTGATGAGCTGCCTGATGCATACACAGGAAGCTGCATGTGGACGCTAGCTGTGACTACTGTCACTATTACCCAAGGCTCTTTGCTTTTTCAAGTTTTTGTTTAAAGTTTTTTGGAGAGACGAGGTCTCACTATGTTGCCCAGGCTAGTCTCTAACTCCTGAGCTCAAGTGAACCTCCTGCCTCAGCCTCCCCAAAGCCCTTTGCTTTTTATCTGAAGGAGTAGAGAGGCGATCTGGGCACAGCCACCTAGGGAGAAATGAAAAGGAATACAGAGAAACACACCACACATACCCACCCCCCCCCACACACACAAATACACACACACACAGACAGAGATACACACACACACACAGAGACAGACATAGATACATACACACAGGGACACAGAAACACACAGATATACACACAGAGGGACACAGAGACAGACACAGATACACACACACAGGGACACACATGCATGCACACACACAGCCTGTACAGAATATAGGGAGATGTGAAACCCCATCCATAAGGCTGCTAAAGGCAGCTAAAAGGGGGAAGATGAAAGTGTAAAGGAGGTGTGGTAAGGTCTTGGCTAATTTACCTTGTTAGGATGGATGAATAGTAAAACTGGTTTTTTAGGGTTAAGAAAGATAAAGGGAGAGAGATGATCATGAGCTGATCATAGGAAAAAACTCTGTTTTGGGAAAGCAACTTCTCTTTTTTCAGTATCTGGGGTTCTTGGGATATGTGTAGTAGTGCATGACAGCACAGCCGAACACACTGAGAGTGGCCTTTCTTTATAGGAACGGAGGCACTGTCCCACGCTGCGACTCTGTCGTGAGTGAAGATGGGTGGTGTGGAATCAGAACAGATTTGCTCTGCCAGAGACCCTTGTGTAGTCCTCCAGTATTCCTTTGGGGTCATGTGTTGATTTATGTCTCTGACTTTGAGACAAATACATGAAAATCCAAACTTAAAAATCAAAAGTGAGTGAGAGACTCTTCAAGTAGGAAGAAAATTCTACACTTTACAAAATAATTCACTACTGTACTCCCTTAAATCACTGATGGAGGATATGATTACATTTCCGTAACACCTCACAGAACTGTAGTAAGGGGCCATTGTATCCAAGATCTTTTCTTTCAAGTGGATTCCTTAGAAAGCAAAAAGGTTTACAAAAAGAATTATTCCCATGAAGATTAGTCAGTTGATATGATCCATGCAGATACTGTCTCGGAAGCAAATGTTCATGTAGCTGGTAAATTTCTGACATGATGGGAAAGGTTTCTGGGTGTCCTTCAATTATCTTCTCTCTTCTCTTCCCATTCTTTATTTATTTATTTATTTTTGAGAATGAGTATTCCTCTGTCATCCAGGCTGGAGTGCAGTGGCATGATCTTGGTTCACTGCAACTTCTGCTTCCTGGGTTCAAGCAATTCTCCTGCCTTAGCCTCCCCAGTAGCTGGGATTACAGGCATGTGCCACCACACTCGGCTAATTTTGTATTTTTAATAGAGACAGGGTTTCACCATGTTGGCCAGGCTGCTCTTGAACTCCTGACATCAGGTGATCCTCCTGCCTCAGCCTCCCAAAGTGCTGGGATTACAGGCGTGAGCCACCATGCCCAGCCCCCCATTATTTATTATTATTATTATTATTATTAATTTTGTGAAAATTTTTACCCCTGTGACTAGGGGAAGACAGAATTTTAACCCCTATATTCCAGCAGATGTGGCTTTCCAAAAGCAATGGTGAGGTTGAATGAGGAAAGAAAGGATGAAAGCTTTCCACTCTCAGGAGGCTGCATGCTTTGAGCTTCCTAAGAAGTACTAAAGGTAGATATCACGGCTCAAGCTTCCAGACTGCTTCACAATTGCAAATAAAGATCTGAAAACTTGTTCTTTTACACTTCTTGGGAACGTTTTTAATTAAATCAGTGGTCAAATTTGCAAATATTCTCCATCGGAAACTTTTGTTTGGCAGGAGCTGCAAACTGTGATGTCAGCCTCTGATTTGAAAACCTGGCCCTTCCAAGAGAATAATAGAAGTTATAAAGAAAAAAGAAATGTGTCTGTGCCAAACCAACAAAAAAGAATAAAAGTTTATAAGATTCTAAATTGAATTTGCTTTTGTCATTTCCCCAAAAGATGTTAGGAAGAATACCAACTTGCTTTAGAGGTTAACCAATTAATTAATGTGGAAAGCTGAAAATATATTATCTCAAGATTGCTGTGTAGTTTATTAGCTGAGAAATATGTTTATTTTTTGCTTTCTAGATACTGTGGAGGAAAGACTGTGCCTTCTTCTTATTTTCTATTGCTTATTTTGAGACCCCATTGCCCAGGCTAGAGTGCAGTGATGATCATAGCTCACTGCAGCCTCAAACTCAGAGGTTTAAATGATCTTCCCACTTCAGGCTCCCAAGTAGCTGGGACTACAGGTGCACACCACCACACCTAGCTAATTTTTTAATTTTGTTATGTTTTATAGAGATGGGGTCTCTCTATATTGCCCAGGCTGGTCTCAAACTCCTGGCCTCAAGCAGTCCTCCTGCCTTGGCCTCCCAAAGTGCTGAGATTACAGGCATTAGCCACTGTGCTGGCCACCTTACTGTATCTATTCGTGTGCTGTTCAGAGTATTTAATTAAATGCTTGTTGATCTGATTTGCTGGAAGTCTAGAAGTCTTTGGCATGAGATAATATATTAGAAAGAGGGCTGGATTGAGACTTTAAAGATCCAAGCCTCATCTTATCTTTGTTGCACCTTATTTTTGTAGAACAATTTATAGTTTACCAAGATCTTAGAGTACATATAAAACCAATTACATTTGATCATCATAGCTACCCTGTAACATAAAAGACAGTATTGTTATTCAATACTGTATAACACTGGTCATATTGGATTAGAGACCACCCTAAAGATATTCTTTTAACCTAACTCTTCATGCATTGTAATATATATAGCTGAGAATTTTCCAAGTCTTCAAATTCTGGTTCCTTTTTGCTTAACAATTTCTTCTTCAACTTAACTCTGTGCTCTCACATTTTGCTGTAAGTGGTAAAGAGAAACCTTCAACACTTTGCTTAGGGATTTCCTCAGCTAAATACCCAAGTTTGTCACTTAAGAGTTTTACCTTCCGCAAAACACTAGAACACTATTCAGCCAAGTTCTTTGCCACTTTGTAACAAGGATCATCTTTCCTCCAGTGCCCAAAATATGTTCATTTCCGTGTGAGACCTCACCAGAAGCATATTTAATGTCCATATTTCTATTAACAGGCTCTTCGAGGAACTAGGTTTTTTTAATATGGCCTCAAAACTCTTCTAGCCTTACCCAGTTCCAAAGCCACTTTGAATTTTTTGGTATTTGTTATATCAGCACCCCACTCCCAGTACCAAAATCTGTATCAATCTACTAGGGCTCCCATAACAAAGAAACACACACTAGTTGGCTTAAACAACAGAAACTTATTTCCTAACTGTTTTGGTGGCTTAAGGTCCAAGATCAAGGTCAGCTGGTTTCATTCTGAGGATTCTCTCCTTGGCTTGTAGATGGCCATCTTCTTCCAGTATCTTCACATGGTCTTTCCTCTATGCATGTACATATCTGTGTCACAACTCCCTCTTCTTATAAGGACACTGGTCATATTGGATTAGGAACTACCCTAAAGATCTTCTTGTAACTTAATTACCTATTTAAAGACCTTATCTCCAGATACATTCTGAGGTTTTGGGGTTAGGACTTTAACATATGAATTTGGGGGGACACTATTCAGACCATAAAAGGCAGTAACCTATAGATGAGAATTAGACCCACCAATGAGAATATTCACGTGCATAGAAACTTAAAGTCACCCGGCTAGTATACTCAAGACCCAGACATTTTTATTTTTCTTATTCAGTCTATTAAGGTGACAAAATGTATTGGAAGTATGTGATCCAAGTAAGTAGATCTATGAATGGTTTCAGGAAATAAGACACAAACGTAAGTTATAGCCACAGGAAATACCCGTGATTTTTGACATAGCTACTCTAAATTTGACATATCAGAACGTTACAGCATGCCTGTCTTGATCTATTTGTGCTGACATAACAAAATATCTGAAACTGGATAATTTATAAGAAGAGAAATTTATTTCTTACAGTTCTGAAGACTGGGAGATCCAAGATCAAGACACTTACAACTGGTGTCTGGTGTGGGACCTGTTGCTGTATCCTCATGGTGGAAGGGGTGAAAACGGCAAAAAGGCATACTAGAATGCTCCCTTCAACCTCTTTTTATCAGAGCATTAATCCATTCATGACTTAATCACTTCCTAAAGGCCCCATCTCTTAATACTATCCCATTGGTGATTAAGTTTTAACATATGAATTTTGAGGGTCACATATAGACCACATATAGACCATAGCAATGCCTAACATTTTGTGCAAATTGTTTGAAAGATTAAATTCATGGCAATGCTATTAAATTAAAGCTTAAATTTTTTTTGTTGTGTTTTTAGAATTAAACGATCGTTCATCTTCCCCAGAATTATAATCCTAAAAGTTAAGGAGAAGATCATATTTTCATCTCTACCCTCTGAATGCTATAAATCTCTTCAAACAAAATTTGAACATAAACCATCCTTCTCAGTGAATATAAGAACAGGCACTATGGGATGAATAAAAACCAGTTCAGTCACTATCAAGCCAACAAAATCAGTGACCACAGCTCTGTTTGGCAGGGCTTCATCTTTTGTGCTGACCTGGAAATCACTCAACTCTAACTAGCTGTTCATTGCCAAGGTCACTGGCTTTGTCTCCGACCTAGAGCAAATCATCCTCTAACCAAGCTGGGTCTCTGCTTTGTAAACTGGGGATTAACTGTCTCAGAGGCTTAGGATCACATTGGAAATGCACTTTACAATAGATATGCACTTATTAAAGGTAGGAAAGAAACATTTTTAAAATGTTGCTCTTCAAGTGTAAGCCTGCTCTTGGATTTTAAAAATGTGTGTTTTACACATAATGCCATAAGCGTATATTTATGTTTGAAAAGAATCATATAATAATATTAAAGCATTGTTCTTGCCCAAACAAAAAAAAAGACATGAAATTGTCTTTTAGATATGTCCTCAAGACTACTGGGTGTTCCAAGAAGAAAGTTGAACACAACTCCTAGCACCTAAGTCCATATCTTTTCATCATTGGAACTTTATGAGGATGAGTTTGGAGCAAAACAAAACCAACTGAATTCTAAATTATCACTCATCTGATGGATCCAGAAAAAGAGGGGACTGGAATCATTTTCCACCAAGGTCCCTTTGGGTCCAAAAATCAGAGGTCAATGCTCAAATTTTTTTGTTGTTGTTGGGTAGGACTAGATAAAACCTCAAGACCCTTTCATTCAAGGGCATTGAGGATGCAAACTCTAGTGCTTGGAGTCGTCAGGCAGCTCCAGGCAGTAAGACAAAATCTGACCATTACAATATTTCTCCCTGAGCTTGTCTTTGGTTCTATAATAATTAATTTAAAAAGACACTTTAGCAATTGTGCCAAATAATGAAATATTCGATTAAAAATGCAACCAGCTGGCTTTTCAACCTTTCTAATGAGTCATGATCAGAACTGCCCTTTGACGAGCAGCTTCTGTGCCAGACACCTCTTGGCAGGCCTCCAAGGGAGGATGGGCATGAGATGCAGGAGCGGTCAGATGGCATCACTGCTGCTGGGGCAGAGCCAGCCCAGTGCTCTGTGCTGTGGGCCGGCAGTGGCTCTTCGCAATCTTCCTGGAGGTTCCTGCAGCCCTGTTATCCACCAGAGAGTGAATTGTTCCCACAGTCTCCCAACTGGTGTCCTTGCTTCCACCCCTGCCTCTCTGTCATCTATTTTCCACACAGCAGCCACAGACATCCTTGTAAGACGCAAGTCGTGTCATGTCGCTCCTCTGGCTAACCCTCCAATGTCTCCCAGCACAGAGAACAAAACCAAACATCCTTGCTGGGACTTGATTCGGTCCCCATTACCTCCCTGACCTCACCTCCTACCACTTTCTCATTCTCTGTCTCTGCATGAGCCTCCTGGCTATTTCTCAGAACATTTCAGGCGTGTGCCCTCCTCACACCCCTTGTGCATTCTGTTCCCTCTGCCTGGAATGTTCTTCCTCCATATACTCAGTGACTTGCTCTTTCACTTCATTCAGGTCTTGGTCAAATGTCACCTCATTAGAGAAGTGTTCCCTCTCCTTCATCACTCTGTCTCCTCCCTATCACTCTTTCTTGTTTGAAACAACCTCAAACTTCATGAGAACTTACAAAGAGAACACAAAGAATTTCTGCCCTGAACTATTTCAGTGTTAGACATCCACATGATGCCCCATCACCCTTAAATATTTAAGTTTGGAAGTTCTACAAACAAAGACATTCTCCTGTACAATCACAATTCAACCATCAGAATAGGAAAGCTGACTCTGGTACATTCCTGCTATCTCATCTTCAGACCTCAGTCAAGTTTCATGAGTTGTCCCAACAACACTTTTTGTTGCCAAAGGACCCAATACAGAAACCTGCATTGCAATTACTTGTCATGTTACCTTAGCATTCTCCAACATGAAACAGCTCCTCCATCTTGCATTGACTTTTGTGACTTTGACACTTGGGAAGGGACCAAGCAACTGGTTTTGTAAAATGTCCATTCATTTGGCTTTGTCTGATGTTTCACCATGATCAAATTCAGGTTATACATCTGTGGCAGGAAAATCACAGAAAGGATACTGTGTTCAGAACCAGCTACATTACACGCAGGGATGACTGCAAAATGAAAATGTAGATGGACCCCTCATTAAACAATTACTAAGACTTTCAAACTGACAACAGAGCATTAAACCAAACGTATGCCCCTTCTGAGCACTGAGCCCTGTGCTATTGCAGAAGTCCATGAAGCTGGCCCTGACTGTGATCTTCACGTTGCATCTCACCAGATGGCAAATGATTCTCCTTAGTACATTACTGATGATGTTACCTTTAGTCACTCTATTAAAGTGGGTTGACCAGGCTTCTCCACTATAAAGTTAATATTTCCCCGCTTTGTAGTGTTTGGGGGAAGATATTTTATATTTACTTAGTTCTATCAATATGAACTTATGGTTTCTGATTTAAGTCAATGGTTTATAATGCATTACTTTATTTATTTATTCTTAATCTTCCTGCAGTCCACTTGGCTTTCTTTGGTGTACAGTTCCATGAGTTTTAATATAAGTGTAGACAAGTGTACCCAACCTAAAAATGAAGGTACACAGCACTTCCACACCCCCCAAAATTCCTTCATGTTGTCCCTTTGTAATAAAATCCTCCCCCTCCTCCTAGCCACTGGAAATCACTGAACTTGGTCCTAAAGTTTTGCCTTTTCTAGAATGTCCTATAAATAGAATCATGCTGCCTACAACCTTTTGAGACTTGAGCGTTTCATTTGGCATAATGCCCTTGGGAGTCATTCATATTGTTTCCCGAATAAGTTTCCTTTGCATGAATGGATACAATTTATTTATCCATTTGCCCATTTGTTATATCAAATTTTCCTTATTCACATTAATGGAGCTTTCCATCTTCAGACAGGACCCTCACTGATCGAGAACACGGGGGCGGTGATTCTTCATTTCTGACACATTTCCAGGCGATGCTGAAGCAGCCGGTCTGGGCACCCCACGTGCAGTAGCAAGGCTGTAGGCAGCTCACCAGAACATGGATCATTGTGAGGGGCTGGGCTGCAGGCAGGGACTGTGTCTTCAAAGGAGGGGATTGTGCTAATACAGGTGACAAATCATGAGGGCCTGAGCCAAGCTGGTGGCAGTGGGACAGACAGTGGAGACAGACGGTAGAGACAGTTAAAAAGAAAGAAAGGGGGACCCACAGCAGGACGGGAGTTGATGATGCGGGGTAGCAATGGGCTCCCTTTCCGTCGTTCAGTGTGAAGAGGGTGGCGGGACATCAGGTAGAACTGCTGGGTAACAAGCTGGCCACAAGTGTCAGCGGCTCAGAGGAGAGAGAGGCCTAAGCTACAGGTGATAGTGGGTGTGGGCTATGACCCCTGGGGGAAAGGCAGTGGAGGGAAGGACAGAGCGGGGGAGAGCGTGCCTCCTCCCTGCTGCTCTCCAGCTTCCGTGAAGGAGCCCACCCCACCCCACCCCACCCCAGGCTGCCTGCCTGCCTCTATTTATTTTTTATCAACAGTTGAGCTCAGAGCCTAATCTTAGCATCTCCACAATTTGCTCTGAGACAAAAGGAGGCAGCGATGCCTACAGGTCTCCAACATTAGATGCAGAGTTTTTCAGAGGAGAATTCTGACCTTGGCCACCTCTTCCCCTGGCTGGGTCCCAGGAGATCATTGCTCCCTCTATTTTAAAGGCAAAGATGCCGCCAAAGCTCTTTTCTGTTTCTTCTTAGCACAGGGTAATACCACAACCATGCATTTTTTGTTTGTTTGTTTTGTTGTTGTTGTTGTTGTTGTTTTTGTCTGTTTGTTTTGAGACGGAGTCTCACTCGGTCGCCCAGGCTGGAGTGCAATGGTGCAATCTCAGCTCACTGCAACCTCTGCCTCCCGGGTTCAAGCGATTCTTCTGCCTCAGCCTCCCGAGTAGCTGGGATTAAAGGTGCACACCACCATGCCTGGCTAATTTTTGTATTTTTAGTAGAGATGGGGTTACACCATATTGTCCAGGCTGTTCTCGAACTCCTGACCTCGTGATCCACCCGCCTCAGCCTCCCAAAGTGCTGGGATTACAGGCGTGAGCCACTGTGCCTGGCCAATTTTTCTTTTTCTTTTTCTTTTTTTTTTTTTTTTTTTACCACTAAGCTAAAGGAAGCAACTACAGAAATATGCATTAATTAACAACAATCTAATTTCCAAAATTACAGATTCTAATCCAATTGACACCACAAGAAAATAACGACAAGATTCCAAGGCCTCCAACTGCCTCATTCCATGAACAGCTTATTCTATGCAGAAGGGCTTGCGGTGGCCACTCGGTTTCTTCTGCACCAGTGCTGCCCTTCCAGAGTGGACAGGACTACAAAAAGGGTCACTTCATTTCCCTTCAAGACAATGAGTCTAAAGGAACATCTTGTCTGCTCCTTGGACTAACTAGTGTTAAAGGCTTACTAAAAGTAAATCTTAGCAGGTCTCGGTGGCTCACACCTGCAGTCCCAGGTACTTGGGAGGCTGAGGCAGGAAAGCTTGAACCCAGGAGTAAGAGGTTACAGTGAGCAATGATAGTGCCACTGCACTCCAGCCTGGGAGACAGAGCAAAACTTTATCACTAAAATACATTTTTAAAAAGTTTTTATGTAACTTTTTTCATTATATATTTTTAAGTTAAAAAACTCACAACCTTAGACTAAGTATGGTCCCAATTTTGCAATCTTATGTTATATAGGCACTAAAAAGTCTGGAAGACTTAGTGAACATCTTTGAGAGAGTGAATTATGGATGTTTTTCTTTTGTCTTTGCTTATCTGTATTTCATTACTGTCTTCTACAGTCAATGATGATTACGCTTTGCCTCTGTAAGAAAAAGTCAATGAAGTTTTTTAAGTATTAAGAATTCATGGCCAGGCACAGTGACTCATGCCTGTAATCCCAGTATTTTGGGAGGCTGAGGTGGGTGGATCACTTGAGCCAGGAATTCAAGACCAGCCTAGGCAACATGGCGAAACCTTGTCTCTATGAAAAAATACAAAAAATTAGCCAAATGTGGTGGCGCACGCCTGTAGTCCCAGCTACTTGGGAGGCTGAGGCAGGAGGATTGCTTGAGCCTGGGAGGTTGAGGCTTCAGGGAGCTGCGATCATGCCACTGCACTCCAGCCTGGGTGACAAAGCAAGTCTGTTTCCAAAAAAAAATAATAATAATAATAATAATAATAATAATAATAATAATCACACTGCTTAGATTATAATAATAATCACACTGGGTACTTATTAATTATTTGAGTGAGTGAGAGTGAATGAGAATAAATGAAAGACAAGAGAACAGTCGTGCCATAGGTCCCTGCTCATCTGATGGATGGCTACCTTATTCTGTGCCTGAAAAGCAGAGACTTCAATACAGCTCTAGGCTTGCCTTCTGTAACCCACAAACAGATCAGTCACAGAAGAATAACACTGCGGAGAGGAGTGTGCTGAGAGGGAAGTTGTTTGTCATTTGTGAATCAAAAGCAAGACTGTGAAGGCCCCACCCCTAATTAATTGCAGGGATAAAGGTGAGTGTCTCATAGTGTAAACAACCTGAAGCAGCTGGTAAAACAAGTCCCCCAAGGACCAGATCCCAGCTAGCTAATTAGCAGATGCTCACCTGAGCAGACATCACACTCAGAGTCTTAAGGAACCTACCAGTATTTTAAAAATCAGCTGTGTTATGAGTTATTCTTCCAAGTCAAACAAGATAGGATCAAACTGTAGGGACCTAGTTTCAAAATTCAAGCTGTACCTTTAGAAGAAGGGTGGAAAATCACACTGCAGCAGAGAACAGGGACTAATTACAGTAAGTACAGTATTTGCTAGTTCAGATGTAGTTATTCTACTTTCAGTTGTATGATTTTGTAAAAATCAAGAGCATGCTTTGATTAAATATTCTTCTAAATTCATTCATTCGACATACATATATTGGCACCTGTTTATATGTTTCATTTTATTTTATTTTATTATTATTTTTTTGAGACAGAGTCTTGCTATGTCGCCCAGGCTGGAGTGCAGTGGCATGATCTCAGCTCACTGCAACCTCTGCCTCCTGGGTTCAAGCAATTCTCCTGCCTCAACCTCCCGAGTAGCTGGGATTACAGGTGCGTGACACCACACCAGGCTAATTTTTGTATTTTTAGTAGAGACAGGATTTCACCATGTTGGCCAGGCTGGTCTCGAACTCCTGACCTCATGATTCACCCGCCTTAGCCTCCCAAAATGTTGGGATTACAGGCATCAGCCACTGCGCCCGGCCATAAGTTTCATTTTAGAAGGCAAGTGTCACAGCACTTTATGAGAAGAAACTAATCTTTTCCACTTAAATGGGAGTGATATGCAGACAGTGGTGGGGTGCTGGAGCCAGTTTGTACTACCCACGGGAGCTGATTGTTAAATTTTCAGGATTTTGCAAGCTGGTTGTTAAATACAGCTATTATTAAAAACTAAAATGATGGGCGTGGTGGCTCATGCCTGTATTTCTAGCACTTTGGGAGGCCGAGGCGGGTGGACCATGAGGTCAAAAGTTCGAGACCAACCTGACCAACATGGTGAAACCCCCGTCTCTACTAAAAATACAAAAATTAGCCCAGCGTGGTGGTGGTCACCTGTAATCCCAGCTACTCAGGAGGCTGAGACAGGGGAATCGCTTGAACCCGGAACGCAGAGGTTACGGTGAGCCGAGATCGCACCACTGCACTCCAGCCTGGGTGACAGAGCAAGACTCCGTCTCAAAACAAACAAACAAACAAAACCCTAAATTGTATAAAATTGCAATTAAATTGTATTAAAAACAAGGGTGATAAATACTCAAAACATCTCTTTCTAATAATTTTACTACATTTTGTTATTACCTAGGCTCTGGGAGTTATTTTCTTCTATTGGACCTGTATTGTCAAAGTACTACATAATGATATGTATGCACATCTCGTCTGGTCAATGTGCGCAGTAATGTCACGCTGGAAATCAGCCATACAAGGAGTATTTACACCACAAAAATTGGCAAACACTAAAAGTCAGGGCTTTTTTGTTGCTTGTCTATACTTTAAAAGGTGACAGGAAATGTTAATGATGCAGATTCAATGTAAAAGTGTGTCATAAAACTGAAAAGCAGATCTATAGCTGCTAGATTGTGAGTAGCACCAAAAATTGAGGAAATATTCTTCCAGTATGCAAAAATACTGGGAGAGCCGATTCAAAAATACTGATGATCTAATTCAGTGCTGTTACTCATACTGACTAATGAATGAAGTTTCCACATCTTGATGGTTTTCTTTCTGTTCATTCAGAATAAACAAAAACATCCATCAGCATTCATGTTAGAACTACACTCATTTGTTAATGCTTTGAGTGACTTTGCTGAATGGGATAGTAATCAAACGTTAGTTCATAGTTTGATTTTTGTCAAATCATGGTTGGATTAGAACCCCAGGTTGACTATGGATACAATAATTCAGCAGAAATCAACAAAAGCCTTTTGTAAGAATCAATTGGCTATTGAAATTTATAATCAAGAGTATTGCCTACTTTATACTTATTTGTGAATTGTGTGCTACACACTTTACATCAGTAAAATTTATGATAAATATATGTGCTTATATATCTGCATACATATCTTTCCTAGAAAGCTAGTTGTTGAACAAACATTTACCAGTGCACCACTTTGTGTGGAGTTCCAATAAAGGCGAAGTAAGCCAATCCTGCCAACTTCAGCTATATATCAACCACCAAAATAAAAATGACTTAATATATCCTGAAAATGCCTGTGATTGTTTAAAAAATGCCAGACAACAGCCATAGATGGAACAAACTATAATAAGGCACATGGTAGGCTGGCTTAACTCAGTCATTTCCAAGCTTTCAATATTACCTGGGTATAAGGGGAAATGTTCCCCTTCCTTCACGGAGTATATTTCCTCCACCTCTTCATTCCTGTACACCATTGTTCTGGAATCCGAAATGTTTCCTAGTTTAAGCACTGCTGAAATCTCACATTATTGTATGCCTAGTGACAACCTCTGCTTGTTGGTGTTGGTCATTGTTGCCAATAAAACAAGCAGAGTTATCTGGGGATGCTGGAAAAAGTGTTAGAAAAATGTGTTCTCAATGTAGTGGGTGAGTTATAGGGTGGAAAAGCCGATTGCACAGAAGGCCCAGTACCAACTGTTGCCTCCCTAACTAGCTGTATGATCACAAAGAAGTCACACCAATGGAGGATAGCTTGGCCTCCTACTAGAGGGCAAGGTGCACATGGGCAGGGACCTGGCTCTGTTCACTGCTCTCCCAGAGCCTAGCACAGTGCCAGCCCACAGTGGGCACTCAATTAGTGAATGCTAAACAAATTGGGTAATATAATTACAAATGCTACCTTTCATGGCTGGTGTGAGGATCAAAACCATTTGAATGCATGTAAAGTGTTCTGCAAACTCAGTTCTTTAAATTATTATTTGATGAATTACACCCACGAAAGAACTGCTGTTTGGGTATTGCTGCCTCACTCCCTACTTTGATTTCTTCTTTCTAACCAGGAGCATCTTTGTGGACATGATCGCTTCTGTGCTCCCAAAGCAGCTTGAGCCTCACACTGCAATGAAACAGCTGATCGACTCATCTACCCTTTTCATGAACCCATGGGCTCCTTCAAGGCAGCAATCGAGTTTATTCATCTCAGTATCCTTACCTCCCAGCACAGTGGCTGGAAGAGGCTGTATGCTCAAAGAGTGAGCAAAAGACAAGTGGACTCTACTTGATCCAGCCCATTCATTTGGACCTAGAATGTGTGCCAGACCAGTAGGGATAAGTGGGCCGGGGATAACCCTTTCCAGAGTTCAGAGGCTGCCACTGCTACAAAACAAACGATATAGAATGTGTTTCCAGTAGACCAACGAAGCAGCAGCTGTGCGGCTCAGCACTGCGTGGGTTAAATAAGCATTATGGGCTAGGCTGGGAACCTAAATACACTTTAAACAGCTTTTTTCGGGCATTTTGCAAATAACTCATGTGAAAGACACTGCCTGTTCTACTAAAAAGCAAAAACAAAAAAACTTGCTACCCCACTCAATCAACCAGGCCTAAATACAGATATTGGTTGGCTTTGAGTGGTTCAAATCAGAGGGTTTCAAAAATGTACATTTTCACTTCCTGGTGTGCAGAAGTCTGTGTTTAGTTAACTAAATAATAGCACAGCAGAAAGAAATCCATTTGAATTCAATGCAATAGGTTTTCTGGGCATTATTTTCTTCCATTGAAATCAACATGCCCATTAACAAGCACAGGTTCTAGGCTCTTCTGACATTTTTGGGCAGGAACGCTGCAGGGGAGTTATAAGAGCCCCAGCTGAGATGGACAGGATCACCCTTTCCCCAGGCAGATTCCCAGCTCCCTGACTCCACCCTGGATTTCTTCCATAGTGCTTTGCTGGGACCTTCCTGAGCTCACTCAGTGAAGCATCTTCTGTGTTTTGAGAAGCAGGGAGCTATTGGAACAGCCTCCAAAGAGAGGAAAGGTTGGCTTTAATTAAGTATTTGTATTAACTTCTCAGAGCAACAGAGATGTCTGCCTAATGACAGAGCACATAAAAGGCAGAGCCAATAATTAATCTTCATGGACCGTCCAATTCTTGGCAAGTTTAATGAGCTGATGTCCACCCTGCACAGCTACATGGCACTCTCTAATTCCTCCACACATCAAATAAAAACTACATGAAGCCAAAGTGGGGGAAATGAGCATAGTCCATATCTCAAATCTGCAGGATTATGAGTACAAGGATGGAAAGCCCCCAGGGTCTCCTGAACAGGTGCTGCAATAGCAGGAGGCATGCAAACTGAAAGAAAATGGTTATATCGTTCTAATTGTGTGGCAGAGCCATTTGCTGCCTGACCAGCAGAGCAACTGCACAGAGATAGTTGTTGTTTTAGTTTTGCTTTAGCAAAATGGAGCCCCTTCACTTCCTACCATTTGTTTGTGTGTGTGTGTGTGTGTGTGTGTACAGTCCTGTGCAAGAGATCACCCAGGTGACCACAATCTACACACGCTTTCTTAGCTCTGCTTCCCTGCAAAACCTAGGATATCAGAGGATTGACAGAAAAGAGGGCATCTTCTTATCTTTGCAGATGTTCACCAAATCCCCAGGTCTAAGTGTGAAGAAAGCTAGGGTTTATGGTAGAAAAGGAAAGCCAGACTCCCCTGAGAGCCCTTCTAGGGAACAGATTGAGTCCCATCTGCACGAGCAATGGTGAATCAAAGGTGGGACTCAAGTTCCCAAGTCTGCTCCTTCACTCTGGGCAGCCTATTAGATTCATGTGCTTCTTGACAGCTTTGGACAAAAATGATCATGCCCCTCCTGATAGCACCAGACAGGTCAATGTGACATGCAGCCATCATGCCTCTGGATTTGGAGGCTCCCCAGGAGAAGCAGCTCAAGCCCGGCTTCGACATCCTGAAAGTGTTTCTGTGCCACCCCACAAGCTGCTGGTTGGTCCATCTCAGCTCCCCTCATTCACCTGCTCTGCCCTGCACTGTTTGGTAATCCAGCATTCTCTGCCACTCATTCTACATGCCTATCCACCCAGCCCAGCAGTCTAACCATGATGCTGGTGGTAAGGAAAAGAGAGAACAGGGGCTTTCAAGTGGAACTTGTATTGCTGTTAAATAAGAATCACTCTCCCTTAGATGTGTATATATGAATCTGTAATATGGACATAGATGGACAGAGATGTCTCCTTTTCCCTGTTCTAGCATTTGAGGCCACCTCCAAGCCCCACCCATGGTAAAGTGGAGAAGCACAGGGCCAGCAGTCTACAATGGACGTCATGGGCATGATTATGAGAAGACTGAGCAGGAGAGAGACCCCAAAGACAACGCTGCTCCCCGCAGCATAACTAGATGGCACAAGGAAGCACTGAGTTAATACTGGGTGTTGGGGAAAAGGTACGAAGGTGCAAGGGAGATACTCTAGAAAGGATACTGACTCTCTGTCTGAGATACTCACCAACCCATGTCAGCCTAACAAACTCCTACTTAATCTTTGAAGCCCAGTTCATAATGTCCTTTCTACACATTTCTGTAGCCCCATCTACCAGGACCTTCTCACAGATTTTTACTTTCTCCGTGTTCCTAGAACAGAAACAGCCATGATGTCTCAGTCAACAACAGATCACATATACCAAGGTGGCCCCATAAGCTTGTAACAGCATATTTTTATTGTATCTTTTCTGTATATAGATACACAAATAAGTACCATTGTGTTCCAATTGCCTACAGTATTCAGTACAGTAGCACGCTGTACAGGTTTGTATCCTGGAAACAATAGCCTATACCATATAGCCTAGGTGTGTAGTAGGCCATACCATCTAGGTTTGTGTAGGTACACTTTATGATGTTCGTGTAATGACAAAATTGCCCGACGATGCGTTTCTCAGAACATATCCCCATCACCAAGTGATGCATGACTGGATCTTGATTACCTGAATTTTACCAACTTCTTAAACGCTGACCCTAGAACTAAGTCCACCCTCAAATTATCCCCTAGTTATTTTTGTGGGTCCCCAAGGGCTCTCATAAAGGAGCTCAGCAACACCTCCATGGGTGAACTTCAGTTTTTGATACCCATATCTCCTTGAGGAGGTGCCCTTCTCTGCCCAGTGGCAGATGCCCTTGTGAAAATTCAACACTTCCTGGTCCAAATTGCTTCCCTGGGCTGCTCTGGCCTATGGCAGACCATGGGAAAATGGCTCTCCTTCTGCTCTGTGCCTTATTAGGTTGCAAGAGCCTTGAAACACTCCACTATGTGTACTCCAAGTCTTATTGACCCTCCTTTACCTCTGGTTGTGTTTCCTCTCATTGTAGGTCCAGCCTCTCAGACCAGGCAGCGAAGGGAGTCATGCCTTCCCCTCCACACTCCTGTCTTTCTCTTCAGCATCCTGGGAACCACGCATAAGCCTTTCCTCCTTCTTCCAGTCTGAAACAAACCAACAAAAGCAACAATGCCCCAACCTCTGTAAATTAATGACCTGGTCAGGGAAAGGTAACTAGCCCCATTCATACAATCTCTGGTCAGACTGGGTTGGAGACACACACCTTTGTACATTCCCTTGCCACATGCCCTAAGAACCTCTAATATAACACTTGTCACATTCACTGTGATTACGTCATCAAGGCTAGACTCCGAGATCTTTGAAAGCAGGGACCATAGACTATTCATCTTTGTGCCACTCTCCAATTCTGCACTCAATAAATAATCATCACGTCTAATATTTAATGAGTACTTAAAATGGATGAGTCAGTGCAGGCTAGGACTTCTATAATAAGAGCTCCCCATTCCTCCTCATCTGAGTTCCTAAATAAGTGTTTTTAGCTTTAAAAGCTTAGAAGGGTGAGCAATTAACCTTCAACTCCTTTCCCTACTCCTGGTATAAATTGTCAAACCTCCCGCAAACAAAAACAGTGCATAAAACCATCAGAGCTTGTGAGAACTCACTCACTATCTTGAGAACAGCATATGGGAAACAGCCCCCATTATTGAATTACCCCCCCACAACATGTGGGGATTGTGGGGCTTATAATTCAAGATGAGATTTAGGTGGGGACACAGCCAAACCATATCAGTTCAACAAACATTTCATTATTTGATAATTCTCCTTAAAAGAAGTTGACCGATTATTTCAGTTACCTCTCCAAGTGCTCTAAATTAGAAATGAGATATGTAGAAATCATCACTACAAATTTGACTACAATACAGTAATTTGTAAGGTGGGGTATTTGGGCGTGGGTATTTGAAGGTCAATCATTTCTACCCTCTGCAGGGTGTAGAATGCATGGAGTTTTACCCTATGTTGCTTAAAACATCTGCCAGACTCCCATGCCCACCTTCTTGATTTGGTTTTCTAGTTTGGTAGCAGTCCCAGCAAAGACCACAATGACTAATATTACCATTATTAAGAAGAGAGTTCCATGATCTTCTGGAACCATAAAATCTTTTTTTTTTTTTTTTTTTGAGACAGAATTTTGCTCTTTTTGCCCAGGCTGGAGTGCAATGGCACAACCTCGGCTCACTGCAACGTGCGCCTCCCAGGTTCAAGGGATTCTCCTGCCTCAGCCTCCTGAATAGCTGGGGCTACACGCACGTACCACCATGCCCAGCTAATTTTTTATATTTTTAGTAGAGATGGGGTTTCACCATTTTGGTCAAGCTGGTCTCAAACTCCTGACCTCAGGTGATCCATCCACTTCAGCCTCCCAAAGTGCTGAGATTACAGGCGTGAGCCACCATGCTGAGCTGGAACCATAAAATCTTATGGTTTCAGATCATTTAGTTCCACTAGTCCTCTCATACCTGAGTCTCCCAGTCCAATCCCTAATTCTCTAACAACAGTCTGCAGACAGCTGCCTCTGAATCATCAAGGAGCTTATTATCAAATAGAGATTCCTGGGACCTCCTCCTGGAGACTCTGGTTCAGTATGTCTGAGAAAGGACTAAGGAAAATTAGTTTTTATGATTAAATGCCTTCCATGATGTGCAAAGCAAACCAAAACTACTTCAGACAATTCTGAGATTTTTGTCAAGCTGAAATTTTTGCCTCCTACCTTCTACCAATTGGAAAGTTCTTTGGAACTAAACTGAACTAGTCTAATCTTTCTTCCACAGACAGCTCTTCAAATATTGAAGATAAGTGTGAATGATTTCCTAGGGCCAGTGTCCTCTAGATTATAAAGGGCTAGTGTCAACAGTTCTTCCTTCAATCATAGTGCTTTTTGGTCCAAATCTAGATTATGAACTTCTAAAAGGCCGGGACAATGTCTTATTAATCTTTTATCACGATACCCAATTCTTAGATATGCTTGATGCCCATTCATTTATTCAGCTAACATTCATAAACCACCTACTGTGTGCCAGGCATTCTTCTAGGCCCCCGAAAATACAGCAGTGAACCAAACAAAAGTTCCTGATCTCATGAAGCTCACCGTCTCATCAGGGTGAGAGACAAAAGGCAAATAAATAAATACGGATGTTCCCCAACTAATGATGGTTCCATTTACATTTTTTCTTTTTACTTTGAAGTGTTGCAAAAGCCATACCCATTCAGTAGAAACTTTACTTTGAGTACCCATACAACCATTGTTTTTCACTTTCAGTACAATATTCAATTAATTACATTTGATATTCAACACCTTATTATGAAATAGGCTTTGTATGAGATAATTTTGCCCACCTACAGGCTTGTGGAAGTGTTCTGAGCATGTGAAGGTGGGCTAAGTTATAATGTTTAGTAGGCTAGGTGTATTAAATGCATTTTTGACTTATGATATTTTCAACTTATGATGGGTTCATTAAGTCGAGGAGCAGGGATGGATATATGTCAGATGGGTGCTAGGAAGAGAAATGACGCAGGTAAAGAGTGAAGAGTGCATTCATTAAAAATTTGTTAATTTGAAATCCAAATAAGCCTTTCATTGGTGGGGGGGTCCAGATGAGCATAATGTGCCCACTGAATATTTGTGCATGCAGGTCATTATTCTTTGGTCCTCGGGGAGAGAACGATCCATGTTCCAGCCAATAGAGGGAGACTGAGAGCAAGACGTAGCTCCGTGGTGCCGAGCTCCTAAGCAAACACCTGACAGGGCAACGTGGAGTCATCTCCAACAATTGCCAAGTGAGTAAATTACCCAGTAACTCTCAGCCAGGAAAAACTTCTTAATAGTATTTTTTATTATTAATTATCACCAGGCCATAGAATACTTTTTCTGTTGAGGATTTTCTTTCCTTGCTCATGCAGAAACAGTACTCTTGCGTGATGGGCAGAGTTCAGTTGGGGCACAAACATGTATTTTTTTCCCCAGGACTTATCAGTGAGGCTGAATCAATGAGCTAGCCATACAGAAATAAGAATTCTGTGACTTCTCACAGCATAAAGAGCATTTATTTGGAATGTTTGCATGATGATCCTCTCACACTGAATTAACCAGCGATTTGGTTCATGAAGTAGTCCATTGCTTTAACATAATGTACGTCCAGACACAGTAGTTGTTGAGAAAATGGGGTCTAAAAAAAGAAAGTTTGTTGCTCAGGGGCAGGGAGGAAATAATAGATAATAAAATAATAAAAATAATATTTTTTTTGGCCGGGTGCAGTGGCTCACACCTATAATCCCAGCACTTTGGGAGGCTGAGGCGGGCAGATCACCTGAGATCAGAAGTTCGAGACCAGCCTGACCAACATGGGGAAACCCTGTCTCTACTATAAATACAAAATTAGGTGGGTGTGGTGGCGCATGCCTGTAATCCCAGCTACTCGGGAGGCTGAGGCAGGAGAGTCGCTTGAACCCGGGAGGTGGAGGTTACGGTGAGCTGAGATCATGCCATTGCACTCCAGCCTGGGCAACAGGAGCGAAACTGCGTCTCAAATAATAATAATAATAATAATAATAATATTTTTAACACCCCCAACCTACAGCAGTGACCCTCTTGTTTAAAAAAAAAAACTCTAAAATTCAGAGTAGATATCTAGCCCTATCTGGTTCAACCAGCATAAATGAGGCTTCAGTAAAACTCAAGAACCAGAAAATCACTATTTACACAAGTGCCTCATGCCCCCATATGGCCCCCATAATGTCTAATACACATAGGGAAAGCTCAAAACCTATTTTTTGCTGCCAGAAATGTAGGGTGGGCATCCAATAGGCATTCTCTTAACAGGCTTGCCCTTTTCCTAGGGTAGACAGAATCAACATCTCAACAGTTTGCCATCCACAACCCTCACCCAGAGTCATTACTGTTGCCTACTGGCTTTACCTCACCGCAGGTGCTGGATAGAAAACCCGCACCTCTGGCCAGGCGCGGTGGCTCACGCCTGTAATCCCAGCACTTTGGAAGGCCAAGGCTGGTGGATCACTGGAGGTCAAGAGTTCGAGACCAGCCTGGCCAACATGGCAAAACCCTGTATCTACTAGAAATACAAAACATTAGCTGGGCGTGGTAGCGAGTGCCTGTAATCCCAGCTATTTGGGAAGCTGAAGCAGGAGAACTGCTTGAACCCCGGAGGCAGAGGTTGCAGTAAGCAGAGATTGCGCCATTGCACTCCAACCTGGGCGACAGAGCAAGACTCTGTCAAACAAAAACAAAAACAAAATCACCTGCACATCCCACATTAAAGCATAACGATAACTTCAGAGCCACGTATTGAGCACTCTCTATGTACTATTTTACATCATTCACACATTGTACTATCTAGTTCCCCTCCCTCCCTGCCTCCCAGTTAATCACGTGGACGTTCAGACCCATCTTAATACGATAGAAGTTCAGAAAGTTTCAGCAAGTGGTTGGAGAGGTGGCAGAGCAGAGAATTCAGGCTGTACGTAAAAAGTTGTAAGCCGTAGACTTTAATCACTTCCTAATTCTTATTTGGCAGAATTTTCATAGCAGGAATGTTTTGAAATACATAGCTTCTGTGGAAAATGATGGGCATTATAATTTGAAGAGAGTTTTTGTTTTTATGGTTTGGGGCTTTTTAAAAATGCTTGCTTTTATCTGCATAATGTACTCATTACTAAAACCATGCTTCAGAAAAGAAACTGGCAATCCACTTAATGGTAGGGTATTTTGTGTCATTTTTTCTTTTCCTTTCTGAACATAAAATAACCATTGATGACCTCTATTTGTTCCCAAGACTTTATATTTCTCACACTGTACAGGAAAATAGCATCAAAGGCCACTAGACCATGTGAGAACCTCGTGAGCTAGGAAGCACGTATTGATAAGACATATATAACATCAGCATTACCCCATCTCATCTTCCCAATGTCCTGCAACACTTGAGAAGGCTATTTGGAGCGAGTTGCAGTAGACAGAAGCTTCCTTGGCCCCAGGGAACTGTCCAGGGAGAAGCTGGGAGGAATCTGTGTTTGGCTCAGTGGCACCCCCATCTGGAGACCAAGAGAAGCGCTGGCTGACTGTCCTGGCTTCCTTCCTTAAAAGGATTCATTAGGCTGGGCGCGGTGGCTCACGCCTGTAATCCCAGCACTTTGGGAGGCCAAGGCGGGCAGATCACGAGGTCAGGAGATAGAGACCATCCTGGCGAACACGGTGAAACCCCGTCTCTACTAAAAATACAAAAAAATTAGCAGGGCGTGGTACCAGGCGCCTGTAGTCCTAGCTACTCGGGAGGCTGAGGCAGGAGAATGGTGTAAACCCAAGAGGCGGAGCTTGCAGTGAGCCGAGATCGCGCCACTGCACTCCAGCCTAGGCAACAGAGTGAGACTCCATCTCAAAAAAAAAGAAAAAAAAAAAAAAGATTCATTAGTAACTGGGGCAGAATCTATTCCCCAGGGTGCGCACAAAGCCCTTTTCACTTTCACAGCCAACAAACACTTTGATGTCCAAAGCCTCGCCAAAAAAAAAGCAGCCATTTCCTCTCACAGCAATAATATCAATTCCCCACGTTTTAATGGAACTCTGCACTTAACAAACACTGTCACACCCATTATCATCTCATTAGATTTCAGTGAAAGAACGAGTAGAGCAAAAGCAAAATAATTCTTTTCTCAGAAATAACTGTGAATGAGCCAGTGGTTTATGTTCGCCGGGACATTGCACCGTTCATAATTAACGTCATCTCCGTTATCAGCCTCTTGTGGTCCTCAATGCTTCCCCAGGGAGAAACTGAACTGTAAAGAAAACCAGGTTGGGGAATCGAGCCCAGCTTAGTGTCACCTCATTGATGTGACTCAATGCCTGGTGGATACACGTGTTTCTCTGGGTCACCCAGATTTGGTCAAATGCTCTTGCTGGGGGTTCTGCCTTCAGCAATCAGCAGTAGGGTAGGACATAGAACTCCCTGAGAAAACAAACAAACAAACAAACAACAAAACCTATTACATGGTATATGGAAAGATACATCTGAGAGATTTGGTAAAGAGGCTCTGTTGCCCACCACACCAAGGTGCCGATGGGCTTCTCCCTGGTCTATATGCCCTTTGGGCACCAGCTGCCTCCTGGCCCACCACCCATCCTCATGCAGGGACTCCTGGCCTCTGGCCTCCCGTATCCTTCCTTCTGGCTCTCTCTACATCCCATCCTTTCCTTTTCCGGGCCTTGCAGTTTTTTCCTGCTTTCTCCAACCTTGTCTCCTCACACTCATTCGTTCACTCGTATTTATTGAGCAGCTGCGATGTAGCAGACGCTGCTCCAGGGGCTGGAATTACAGCAGGGAACGAAGCAAAGCCCCCACCCTTATGTACTTTATGCTCTAGCCAGAGAGATGGAGGGCAAACAGATATACAATGCTCTGCTACTAGAGAGTGAACAGGGGCGCGAAGAGAAATAAGACAGAAATAGGAAAGAAGAGATGGGAAGGGGAGATTTGAGATAGGCCAATGGCTCTTATCCAGGGGAGATTTTGATTGGTGTCTGATTCATAAACACCTTTTGGCTAAGGCTTTGCACAAAAGTAAAATTAAAAATACTCACATAAAAGAGTGCCTTGGACATCTGTACCTGGATGTGATTTCAGTTCTGCCACTTACTGGTAGTTCCTTTACTTCTTCAGTCTCCATTTTCTTAACTTGAAATGGGAACTTGGCCTCTTCTGCAGGGTTATGGTACAGATTAGGTGAGATGATGTGTCCTGTGTGCACAGTGTCCGGCACACAGGAGCACTGATGTGTGGTAGCCGTGACGACAGTGATGGTCCAGATGATGGCAAGACCAATAATCCAATAATAAGCAGGTACTTATTAGACATATTTGGGGCTCTCAGCCCCATATCAGGCACTGTTCAAAAAATGGTGGGGAAACTATGACCTTTGACTTAAAAATACTGCCCCCCACCCAACACTTGTAACACAGCTTTCTAGGCACAGAATGGGGGAGAGCTACCTTTGTCCCCGTCCCACCCACTTCAGTTTCTCATAGCCTCAAAATCAAAATCATAGAGGTAGGAAAGATCTTAAGATCAAGTCTCACCCATCCATGTTATAGATGAGGAAGATGAGGCCCTGAGAGCAGAAGTGATCGCATCCTTGGTAGAAGTCTGTGGATAGTGGCCTGACTATTTCTTTTGGGCATAGTGGTGAGGAATGCTTAAGAGTAGAGGCTACCGGGCATGGTGGTGCACGCCTGTAATCTCAGTTACTTGGGAGGCTGAGGCAGGAGAATAGTTTGAACCCAGGAGGCAGAGGTTGCAGTGAGCTGAGATTGTGCCACCACACTCCAGCCTGGGCAACAGGGCAAGGCTCTGCCTCAAAAAAACAAAAACAAAAAAGTAGAAAAGTAGAGGGAGACTGCATAGGGTGGAGGGCTACTAGAAGATGGAGAGGCAGGAGATGAAGGGGGTCCAATCAGCACTCCCTCCCCAGGTAGGTTCCTGGCAGTGGACTACCCAAACACATCTTATTTACGTACTGTTTCTTTCTTCTTTTCTTCATCTACTAAGATAGAAGCTGTGTGAACTCTATCAAGCTTCTTGTGTATCTGGTTCTCCTCTATAGCCCTAGTCCTTAAAACTTTCCCCACACTCCAACAAACATATGAAAAAAAAAGCTCATCATCACTGGTCATTAGAGAAATGCAAATCAAAACCATAATGAGATATCATCTCACGTCAGTTAGAATGGCGATCATTAAAGTCTGGAAACAACAGATGCTGGAGAGGATGTGGAGAAATAGGAACACTTTTACACTGTTGGTGGGAATGTAAATTAGTTCAATCATTGTGGAACACAGTGTGGCAATTCCTCAAGGATCTAGAACCAGAAATACCATTTGACCCAGCAATCCCATTACTGGGTATATACCCAAAGGATTATAAATCATTCTACTATAAAGACACATGCACTCGTATGTTTATTGCAGCACTATTTACAATAGCAGACTTGGAAACAACCCAAATGCCCATCAGTGATAGACTGGATAAAGAAAATGTGGCACATATACACCACGTAATACAATAGTATATAATCAGTCATAAAAAAGAATGAGCTCATGTCCTTTGCAGGGACATGGATGAAGCTGGAAACCATCATCCTCAGCAAACTCACATAGGTACAGAAAGCCAAACACTGCATGTTCTCATTCATAAGTGGGAGTTGAACATTGAGAACACATGGACACAGGGAGGGGAACATCACACACCAGGGCCTCTCGGGGGTTGGGGGAAAGGGGAGGGAGAGCTTTAGGACAAATACCTAATGCATGTGGGGCTTAAAACCTAGACGGGTTGATGGGTGCAGCAAACCACCATGGCACATGTATACCTATGCAACAAACCTGCACATTCTGCACATGTATCCCAGAATTTAAAGTAAAAATAATAATAATAAAACTTTTCCCTACACTGAGCAGGTGCTCAATAAACCCAGAAGAAGTGCTCACCACCTGCACAGGCTCAACTGCTCCCTCAGAGATCATGATGAAAACCCCATCTCTCCCTGCCTGGGAACCTCGGTGCCTCCAATCCAGACAAAAATCCCCATGACAGTCAAATCACAAACACTTTTAAACAGCAGCTACTTATTTTTATTATGGCTTTTATCAGTAACAACAGTAGTATTTTAAAAGTATACGGAGGTCGAGCGCGGTGGCTTATACCAGTAATCCCAGCACTTTGGGAGGCTGAGGTGGGCAGATCACTTGTGGTCAGGAGTTCAAGACCAGCCCGGCCAACATGATGAAACCCTGTCTCTACTAAATATACAAAGATTAGCCAGGCATGGTGGTGGGCGCCTCTAATCCCAGTTACTTGGGAGGCTGAGGCAGGAGAATCACTTGAACCCAAAAGGCAGAGGTTGCAGTGAGCAGAGATCATACCACTGCACTCCAGCCTTGGCAACAGAGTGAGACTCAGTCTTAAAAAAAAAAAAAAGTGTATGGAGATCAACAATAAGCCAGTGTTTTCATATGCATTATTGGACTCTTTCCAATGTATCACCAAACTCTTTTTAAATCATGAACATTCTCCTGTTAACCACCCTATTGGTTGGGCCTTTTGTCTTATTCCATTTCAAAGAGTTGGGCTGAACCTGGTAAAAATCTCCACCAGAGGGGGCAGAATTAGTTTAGAAGGGTCTTGGGACCAAATATAATCAGAAAGATGTACACTCAGGTGACTTGAAGGTACAGCCAGGAGACAACCAAGATTGTTAATCCAAGGTCACAGCCAAGAGCTTGCAGTGCTTTGCATCAAATCCCAAAAAACAAAGGATGTCAATCAGAGAATGAACAGCACTGTTGGTGACTGAGAGGGTCCAAATAAAATGTCACAACTGAGCACGGAAAAGGGTTCAGCACGGATTTGTCAATGTAGTAAAGCAATCTGTTTGGTGCCTGTACCAAAAGTCTCAGAATGAGAGCTTAAAGGAGATTTTGAGTGGGCCCCTGTGGGTCACTTCCCACTTCTCAGTCTCCAGGTTAAAGGAACGTGGAAGAGATATGTTTTGATGGAGGATTAAGTCTGACGGGAGCATGTAGCCTTGGTCTCTGCAGCTCTGTCATCATTTGCTTTTAATTTCATGAAGAGCTTTAATGTGGGGTGAAAGCAGTATAAACATTCAATAAGTGGTGTGTCTTTGTCACTTTTAAATAATGATACTAAAGCAATAAGCTTCTTGCTACGGAAAATGGAGATGATATAAAATGGGCAGTTGAGATGATTCCCTAAATAATTTGGGAAGAAACAAATAACCAGCTACTGGGAAGGAAGTGCTTATTAAGTCTAAGGTGTATTGTCCAGTTTTGTACACCTGTCCTTTCATTCAACAAGTATTGACAGTTCTCTAAACACCTGCCTCCACTAGATAATTCTATTGCACTTCTCTATTCTGCTTGTGCAGACACAATCTTTCTCTCTCCACAGCCGAGAGACTTGCCAATTGCCAAGTTCAGCTACAAGGAGGTCTACGTTGGTGACTGAGGCCCTCGGAATTGCATTCTCACTCACTATGGGCAGTTCTCACTCACGATTTGGTGAGGTGTCCAGCTCCTTATCAATGCAGCCCAGGAGGCAAGATGGAGATACTCCCCCAACCCTGGAGAAGAATCACCAATCAGAATGTCTTGAAAGCATCTCTCAGTTGCTAAGTAATAAATGCTTCTGTTGGTAGTGCCCTCACTCTGATTTTGACATAGGGAAGAATGAGAAAATCAAGGTTCCCACCCTGGTAACAGAATGCCCATGACCCCAGCTATACTCAAGTAATTGGTTTTTACACAACCTGCTTAAAAGAGGACACATGACAGATCTCTCAAAGGCCTGTGGAAACAGGCACAATCTGTTTTAAAACCTCAGCAAAGAAGAAAAAAAGGCCTTGGAGTAAGAGAACATACAAGATTAATGATCTCCCTGCACTGTAGGGAGAAGTCAACACCAGCTGGGGATAGATCTGTCAGAGGCAATGAACGTGATGAAAAAAGGCAGCTGATAAGTTCATTCGGTGTAGAATTTCAACTATGATCTATGGATACACACTGCAAGTACAGGAGCATCATTTTTTTGCAGAGTATAAATACCCCAGAATACAAACGAACCAGCTCTAGTTCTCATTTTGTCCTGACCCTGCATCCTGTTGTAAGTCATATTAGTCAGAGGCAACAAACAGGACAATTGTGAATATTCAGTTTCTTTAAACGATGGTGGAGGAAATGTGTCTGTAATATGCATTTTCATAATGAAACCAACTCAAGAAGTCAACTTCTTATTTACAAGGATACTTGTTTATTCTAATATTTTACAGGTATAAATATACCAAGTGTGGTGGGGTGTAGTGGCTCACATCTGTAATCACAGCACTTTGGGAGGCTGAGGCAGGAGAATCACTTCAGCCCAGGAGTTCAAAACTGCAGTGAGCTATGATTGCACCGCTATTCTCCAGCCTGGGCTACGGAATGAGACTCTGTCCCTAAATACCAAGTATGTATTATTTCCATGTAATGCATAATATTTTGAGTATATTAAAACTGAAGCTCATGAGGGATTCTGGTTTAAGCTCAGTTGTTATGTTGGACGGCACATGGCCCCAGCTTCCTCACTATGTAGGGCAAAAATTTCTACAGTGACGACCGTAAGGAGAAAAGATAATCAAATTATGTGAGCGGGTCTCATTTCAATGATGTCAGACTCATGTAGCTGATTTTGTAACATTTTTACTAGATGTTTGATTGAATTAACTTTAGAATTTCAACCCACAAATAATCTAATAAAGGTAGGGTTTGAATCCATAAGTCATCTAAATTCAGGCGGCATTGAATTTGCTTCCCCAAACCTTTTTCAGAAGCTTATGTCTTCAACGCAAGGCTCAGCTGTCGCTTCCCATCCTCTGCAGGTGATCACAAGCTGTCAAGCAACAGAGGGGCCATTGCCTAAAAAGGACAGTGAGCAACAGCAAGCCGACAAACACACCCTACAAATTAGGGCGGCTCTGCCCCAGTGAGGGTCAGTCAGTGTCCAAGAAGCTTTGAATGCAAGAACTAGGTGATCACTTGGAGATTCAGTCCAGAGCTGCAAAATTCAGGGATCCAGATCACCCAAATGGTGAATGGATTGGAATCCTCTTCTGCTAATTCCTCTCCCAAGCTCTATTGAAAGATGCCGGGTTTAAAAACAAAAGCAAAACAACACAACCCCAAACTGGAAATATGTGGCTTCCAAACCATGAGTCAGCTCTGGTTCCAACTACCGCCCATCTGGCATACACAGCATAAATCCACATGTTTCAGAGGCTTTTCTAGTAACAACACACAAAATTTAAATCCCAAATCTGTGATTTTAGCCTGAAAAGTTTTTTAAAACCAGAAAAAGAGAGAACGACTTTATACTTAGAAATGAGGAGTACCACAGCTCATTTATATATACACGGGTTGACTAAAACCTGGAGCTGGGTGTTTTTAACCTGAATTTTTTATCAGAAAATGAGAAAAAGAGAAACTTTCCAAAGCACCTGCGGTTTCCAGATCTTGGGGAGAAGGTAAAGCATTTTAGAGACGTTTCAGATAATATTTTCTCATTTTAAAATATGAGTGATAGCTTTAGGGCATGTGCATAGAGAGAGAGAGAGAGAGAGAGAGAGAGGAAGAGAGATTGAAACAAAGAAATTGAGAGAGAAAGAGGAAGGGAGACAGTGAGAGGGGCTTTTTCTTGCCATCATTTCCCAATTCTTTTCCATCTCTGTCTCGACCGGGCCAGCTACAACTCCCTACCTCTATACCAACAGGTCCACATCTATTTCTCTTACATGGCTATGAACTAGAAATAATGAGCTTTTATAATTTATTTTGGGATGTGAATAATTTTTCAAAAAATCTTATACTGTGGTTGGGTGCAGTAGCTCACGCCTGTAATCCCAAAACTTTGGGAGGCTAAGGCAAGTGGATCACTTGAGATCAGAAGTTCAAGACCAGTCTGGCCAACATGGCAAAACCCCATTTCCACTAAAAATACAAAAAAATTAGCCGGACATGGTGGTGCACACCTGTAATCCCAGCTACTTGGGAGGCTGAGGCACAAGAATCACTTGAACCCAGGAAGTGGAAGCTGCAGTGAGCCGAGATCACACTACTGCATTTCAGCCTGGGCAACAGAGTGATATTCTGCCTCGAAAAAGAAATCTTATATGGTGATTTTTTTTTCTGCCTGTGGTTTCAGTGGCCCTTCATAGAAACAGGTTCCCCACCCTTCACTCCGCTGATGATACATCACGTAAAAACCCTTCAGTGGGGACAAAATTAACTTCCCTCCCTTAGAGAAGAGAAAAATCGTCAAGTATTGTAACTTCAGTCTTCTGTTTACATACACAATGGTTCTGATTCCTCGCTTTTGTCTCTGGTCATCTTAACCTTGAGTCCCCACTGCTTACATGCTGACCCTTGAGCAGGGAGGGAAAGATATGCCAAGCTGTCCCCGTGATGATGGTGACAGGGGAGAATATTTAAGGTACAACAGAAGTCGCTCCCTCCAAAAGAGAAGTACTGAGATGAGGGTTGGTTTCAGGGTATGCCCCATGAGGGGTCGTCATTATACTTCCAATTCTGAAAAAAAATCCTGTCTGGAAGCACACAGATTTTTTGAACTCTGTTTTTCTTGACTGTGGTCTAGTATTTACAAATTCCTTCGAAGCATGTACTTGTCAGCCAGTGCATACTTCAAGAATTAGCTTTAGAAATATGTCTGTGTGCATATACACATTAAAATATGTGCATTCTGTTTTCAAAGTAGTACAATGAGAGGCTGATGAGCTTAGCTAGAGAAGTTGTACGATGTCCTGTCTGTCCTCTCATGAGCCCATGACCCAGCAGGCAAGTTTTAATACAGAAAATCAGCAGAAGAGAGGTCTTACTGTCATAGAAGAATACCTTGATCTACTGCTGTATTAGTATGTTAGGATAAATAACTGCAACAACAACCCCCAAATCTCAGTGGCTTGGTACAATATAGGCCTATTCCTTACTCAAATCACATGGAAAGCAGTTTGGTAGCTCACTTCCAGGAGGTGACTCAGGAATCTAAGTTCCTTCCATCTTATGCTGCCACCATCTTAAACACGTGGACTTCCACGTTGTCACAGAAGGGGAAGAAGGAGCATGTCGGGTTTTTATGCCAGGCCCAGAAGCAGCTTGAATCTCTCCCAGCCACATTCCACTGGCGAAAACCCAGTCATCTGGCCCCAGCCTAAGTAGAATGGAATTTGGGAAATGCAATCTCCCAGGGTGCCTGGAAGAGAAAACAGGATTGATATTTAGCCAACCCCTGCCATAGGTGATTTTTCTTCAGTCTATTACGTTTTTAAACTTTGAGTGTGCTAAATAAATAAGCAAAGGTAACAAAGAAAAAGCTAAATAAGAGCTTTGTACGTCTGATAAAATTAGACCTCTGATCGGACCCAATTTCCCCAAGTGGCAGACCAAATGGAGCTACACCAGGGTAGAACATCCAATATACAGACCTCAAAGGTACTTTTTATTCCAACGTGTATAGACACCACACCTTGCAGGAGCTGTCTTACCCAAAGGGCATCCCAAGACAGGGAGTGCCGTTGCAACACTACGACGATCCGGCCTCGAGGTGGGTGTATCCATTGGGCCCTAGCTGAGGAAGGAGGGACAAGCCACTCCTGAGAATTATTCTACAACTGTGCTATTCCCTAGTGAAATGAGGACAAGCGAGGGACAGAGGGCTATCCAGTGAAGTGGGGGGTCCAGGACCATTCTTAGCAGGGTGGGGGACCCCAACAGGAACCAGATCATACTGTGCACCTCCACACACACCATGTGCCCGTGCTGTGTTCCCTACCCCAAGGAATGCCACCACCATCCACCCATTTCCCCAAGCCAGGCTCCTCTCACTCCTACCTCCTACTACACAACATTGCCACTCTGTTGACCTCACCTCCTGGCTCTCTCTCCAAGGCATCCCACTTTCTTAATCTCACTGCCTCATGACCGCTCCCTGGTCTTCTGCCGCAGCCTCATACCTGGCCTCCCTGCCTCGAGAGAGGCACCAACGCTTCAGGGGGCAGAGTACTTGTTCTAAAACATAAAGCTGCTCATGTCATCCCTGTTTAAAACCCCTAATATAGCTGAAGTTCCCATTGCCTTTAGAACAAAACTCAGAATCCCTGGCATGACCATCAAAACCCCACATAACTGGTTTCTTGCTTGTTCACCCAGCCTCGGCTTTCTCCATTGCCCCTTCTCCCGAACGCCCCCATGCATGCTACAACCAGCTAAGCGTTACCGCTTGCAGTTCCCAATATGGGCTCCTGCCCCTTCCTCTGCCTCAAACTCTCACCCTCTCACCTTCTCCCTCCTCGCCAGATGACTTCCCACTTGTCTCCAACAGGACAACGAACAAAATATTCCTCTGTTCCGACTCCAGAAGGAATGATTGGAACATGGTACCATTCGTATTGAAGAGGGAATCTGACTAGACGTAGCGTCATAGCCCCAGGTCACTGTTTGGCAGAGATTTGGGTCAAAGTATTGTTATCAGAAGAAATCTGCCTTCCTTCACGCAGACTAGATTGGGAGTTCAGCCAGAGAAGCACTCTCCAGGGTGGACTCCAAGTCTTCTTATATGCACTTGAAAAGCACCCATGGCCCCACATTGCAGGTGAAGAGGAACCTCCCTGAAATGGAGGTGCCCACAGGCACCTTGCTGTTGTTCCTCTCTCTGACCCCATCTCAGCCCTCTCTCCGGAGAAGTCATCAGGAGCCAGGGCAGACAGAGACAATATGGAGTCTCGTCATGTTGCCCAGGCTGGTTTCGAAATCTCAGGCTCAAACAATCTTCCTGCCCCAGCCTCTCGAGTAGCTTACAGGTGAGAGTCACCATGCCCAGAGGGACAGAGACACTAGTGACATTGACTGGCAGAATTTGTAGCTTCTCGAGACAGCCTTAGGACTGGAGCTCATCAGTTATTCCATGGGGGAGCTTGTGAGCTGATGGAGAATGCATGGACACCAGGCAGCGAGGGTTAAAGGGGCTGTAGAATGGCCACAGGGAGGACTGGGGGAATGAGAGTACTCTGAAGGTGTAGTCATGTAGTCAGTGAGTCCTCTGCTGATGCCCCAAAGAGGAGATTCAGAGGCAGCAAATGCATCTGCACTCTACAAAAGGCGCTGCACCATCTACGGAGGACTGCCTATGGGTCCCCTAAACCAAGCGTGTGACCTCGAGCCCAGGGCTGCCTGCAGGCTCTGCGCCAGGGGTGAGAGCGATCAGGGAGCAGGTGCAAGGCAGGATTCCTGATGGTCTGGAGGGCTGGGTGTTCCCTCACCCATGTTACGAAAAGGACAGGGGTTCCTGAAGTCAGGTGAAGGGGTTTTTAGAGAAATACTTGCAGAACATGATGTGGCCCCTGGAATCTGGAGGACCCAGAGAGAGAGGGTGCCTGATCTCAGCCTGTCTGTAGCATTCTGAAAACAAAAGTCTGACCTGAGGCCCCCTTGGGTATAGGGTGGGAGAACAAAGTATAAGCAGCCTGCTTTTCCGAGTTCAGAGGGGTGAATGTGTGCTCCCTATGAACCAGAGCAATTGCTGCAGAAGGTCATGAAGCTTGAGCTGTCTTGAAAGGGTCCCTCCCAACAGGTCCACCTGCAGCCAGAAGTGACCACAAATGAAGAGTCTGTGAAGGGTGGATCTCCAAAAGTAGAAGCTGGGAGGAACAATCAAAATGGCAGGCCTGTGGGGCATCACCTGCACAATTGCACCTGTGAACCATGCAGGGGGCATCACCTGCACCATTGCACCCATGAACCATGCAGGGGACATCACCTGCACCACTGTACCCATGAGCCATGCAGGGGGCATCACCTGCACCATTGTACCCATGAACCATGCAGGGCATCACCTGCACCATTGCACCCACAAACCATGCAGGGGGCATCACCTGCACCATTGCACCCGTGAACCATGCAGGGGGCATCACCTGCACCATTGTACCCATGAACCATGCAGGGCATCACCTGCACCATTGCACCCATGAACCATGCAGGGGGCATCACCTGCACCATTGCACCCGTGAACCATGCAGGGGGCATCACCTGCACCATTGTACCCAGGAGCCATGCAGGGGGCATCACCTGCACCATTGCACCCATGAACCATGCAGGGGGCATCACCTGCACCTCTGTATCCATGAGCCATGCAGTGGGCATCACCTGCACCTGTGAGTCATGCAGTGGGCAGGGGACTCCAAGGGGGTTCCCCAGGGGGACACTTTCACAGAACTCACCATAATCAGAGCTAGCATTTGGGCCCTGTCTCCCCTTCCTGCACTTTATCTCCCTGCTCTTCCTCTAGGTAGAGCAGGTCTCCCCATGGAGAACAAGTCAGCTTAGGGGGTGGGAGATGAGTGTAGGGTGGGAGACAAATCCTGAAGAAGCAGACCACTCTGCTATCTCCTCCAATGTGGGTTTCCAAGACTAATGCAGGTCAACACTGGACTGAGGGCAAGAATCTTTAAATGGGAGACCCTAGAGCTTTCATATTAGATTAAATTAGACTTTTTTTAACCCTAAAAAAATGAGACTGCTTATTAGGACCTAAACCTGGTCAAGAAAGCTGTTAATTGGATAGATATATATGTCGGTGAGTTGAGGTAATGATGAGGAGCATCAGTTTTTGTTTTTTTTTGCTTACTCTGCATCAAGTCTAGCTCATTTGATGAACCAGTGATGTCAGCTACACTGGGGCCACATTCTCCATCACGGAAACCTTGGACCCACGCATGGATAAGGGAGCTTTCAGAAGTCTTGTGGGCTTTGGGTAAACTAAAATTTTGGCCAGCAAACAGACACAAAGCTGCACCTTAAATCCGTCTAACCTTTCTTAAAGGTTGGCCATCCTGAGTGAAGGGGACCACTCTGGTGTTGACTCTCCTGAAGCCACCAGGGCTGCTTAGGCAGGATTTATGATCCTGCTCAGGGAGCACTCATCTGTTCACGTGGAGCCTGGCATCACCCTGCACTGGTTCCAGGGGCGGGAAGGGAAGCCACAGCCAGGCAGCCCAAGGGCTTCTGTGCTGACATCCTGGGAATTCATTCTGCCTTCCTGGTGAGGGCTGTTGATTCCAGGCACAGACCCAAGAACTGGAAAATGTCAGGCTTTGCTCGGCAAGTCCCTTCTGTGATTGAGAGAAATGGATGAGTTGGAAGGGAATACAAATGGGGGAAGCACGTAAAACAGCTGAATAAACCTGACAGCCTTTCTCCAACCTTTTAGAGGGAGCAGAGAAAGAGAGTAGGGAGGGAGAAATTCTTTCCAGGGGTCTCGCCCTCGAGTAGGGGAGACGTTACTTTTCTGGGCATATGAATACTTCAGTATTTCTCCCCCTTAATGTTGTTTTCATCTTCTTCTTTTTTTTTAAAGGTGGAAGAGTGTGTGAGTGTGTGTGTGTGTGTGTGTGTGTGTGTGTGTGTGTGTGTGTGTGTGTGTTAGAGAGAGAGAGGGAAAAGGTATATTAGTTTTCTAGGGCTGCTGAAACAAATTGCTACAAACGATGTGGCTAAAACAACAAATTTATTCTTAAAGTTCTAGAAGCTAGAACTCCAAAAATCAAAGTTTCAGCAGGGTCATGTTTTCTCTCCGAAGGTTCTAGGGAAAATTTCATTGTTGCCTGTCTAGTTCTGGTGGCTCCAGGCATCCCTTGGCTTGTGGCAGCCTCACTCCAATCTCTGCCTTCGTCTTCACATGGCCCTCTCCTGTGTGTGCCCCTATCTTTTCTTCTATCTCTTATACCGATACTTGTCATTGGATTTAGGGTCAACCTGAATAATCCAGGATGATCTCATCTTGAGATTCTTTCTTTCTTTTTTTTTTTTTTTTTGAGATGCAGTCTCGTACTGTTGCCTGGGCTAGAGTGCAGTGGCACAATCTCAGCTCACTGCAACCTCTGCCTCCCAGGTTCAAGCGATTCTCTTGCCTCAGCCTCCCTAGTAGCTGGGATTACAGGCATCCACCATCACGCCCAGCTAACTTTTTGTATTTTTAGTAGAGACGGGATTTCACCATGTTGGCCAGGCTGGTCTCAAACTCCTGACTTTATGATTTGCCCGCCTCGGCCTCCCAAAGTGTTGGGATTACAGGCGTAAGCCACCGAGCCCGGCCTTTCTTAATTATATCTGAAAAGACTCTTTTTCCAAATAAAATTACAGTCACAGGTTCCTAGTGGATGTGTTTTTTGTTGGGGAGGAGGACACCATTCAACCCACTGCAGAAGACCAAAAGACAGCAATGAAATGATAAACTGTTTAAGGTCCAGGAATAAGGAACTGGGGTTCATGGGAAAGCTCTTCCATTTTAGGGATACGCGTCCAGCCCCTCCTTATCTCCACGCAGCACGTGCCAGGTGGGCCTCCATACCACTGCCTCTCTTGGAATCTCTGGTCTGGGTCAGGTGGGGGCATTGGGACCAAGAGGAGATAGCTGTGCTCTCCCCAGGGCTTTGTACCAAGACCATGCCTCTGTTTAGTGGCACACAACGGAAGCATCAGTGTTAGTAAGGAGTAAGAAATGACTTATCTTTCTTGAAATAAAAAAAATCAATTGCCTGTAAGGAAGCCAAGGCCTGTTTCTCCAGGACCAGCTCTTTAAATGCATACGACTCTCTTGAGGATAATTAAAAGTCCTTTGTAAATTTTGAAGAGCTATATAAACATAAGACTTCTTCATATCATCACCATCATTATTCCAAGGAAATAAACTCTAACGACAGCAAGTACCTTCTGTATATTGAACACATTCCACATACTGCACATGGACATGCATCACGCTCCACATTTTACTCCCATAGCCTCAGTTAGTCTCATGTCTCATTTTCCTTTCCTTTTTTTTTTATTTTGACAGGGTCTCACTCTGTCATCTAGGCTGGAGTACAGTGGTAAAATCATGCCTCACTGCAGCTGTGACCTGTCGGGCTCAGGCGATTTTCCCACCTCAGCGATTCTCCCACCTCAGCCTGTAGTTGAGACTACAGGCATGCACCACACTCAGCTAATTTTTTGCTTTTTGTTTTTTGTAGAGGTTTTGTCATGTTGCCCAGGCTGGTCTCGAACTCCTGGGCTCAAGCGATTCTCCCACCTCTGCCTACCAAAATGCTGGGATTACAGGCTTGAGCCACTGTACCCAGCCTCATTTTCCTTATTTTTTAAATGGAAATGAAAACACCTCCTTCTCCAGTTATTCTGAAAATCACGTAAGTAAAACAGCTTACCCAAGGTCATACAACCAGAGAATGATACACTGGGGACTCAAATCCAGATTTTTCTGATTCCAAAACTGCTGAGCTGAAATCCAGTGTTTTTTTCCCATTTGTGTGACTTTTTAAAAGGGGTAGTTTCTGCCACAGGGGCCAGGGATGGGGGGCGGGGGGTGCTTTTTGGCACTCTTGGGAATTATCTTCTCCTTTCTTCACCTGTGCAGACTTGCAAGCACCTTTTAGAAAAATGAGGGACAGGTGGATCCTCAGAGGGTTAGACTTGGTGTGGAACGGCCTATTCTGGGCTAAGGAACTGGGCGTTTTCTGACTTTCTGATCCCAAGTCTCTAAGCTATGGTTCTGCTGTACCTCAAATAGATCTTGTGGAAAACCGCAGGACTATGGCATCAGGCTGCTCTTCTGCAGGTATTTATGGAAACCCTGGTAGAGGAAGGATGCCTTCATGGAGGTTCAACCTGGCTGGGGAGAGAGAAATCTGAGCATAATCAGAAGAGTGTAAAATTAAGTGTTAGTAGGAGAGCAAACTGTAAGTAACAGGTGCCAGGGAAGTGGACAATCAGAAAGATGTAAGGATGTACTTTGTTCAAGTCATAGCTCTGGTCCACCCACCTCCGTGAAACTGACTTCAGGCCTGCGGCTGGCCCCCTTTCTGATGGCAGGAGGCAGGAATGACGTCCTGTCTCCTTTTGCCAAGAATCTGAGCCAGTGACTGTAGGGTAGTACTGTGAGCACACGGAAGCGTGAAGAGTGGCTCCATGGATCTGCCTGACACCGAGGTGTCCCAGACTCCTCCACCCTTCAAGGCTCACATGCTCAATAATGCCCTGAAAACAGCGGTCCAAGCCTGGTACTCCTGGGACTCCCCCAGGAATGCTGTCCTCACCGTGAGGGTCACCTCATCAGCCGTCTGGCTCTCTGCCCAAGCTTGAACCCTGCACTACTTGTTAGTTCTAATTATAGATTGTAATGATTAATTAAGTTTTGATGACATAAATACGTTTTGATGGGGATAACAGGAGGTTTGGCTACTCTTGGAGCCCAGGGGTCAAGCCTTCTTCAAGGTCCCCACTAGACACCATTCTCTGTGGTCACAGTGAAGAGGCCAACTCGGTTCCCAAAGAACCATGTCTCTCCAACTTTGAGTCCAGGCAGATATTTTCTGAGGCTCCCATAGAAGAAGAAAAAAAAGTTGTTTCTAGGAGAAAAATCATCTGAGATGTGCAATTCTGCCCTCAATGAAGACATATTAATTTCACAAAATTTGTATATCCTTGTTGTCTTAAACCACTCTATTCCAGAAGATGGTCTGGGGTATATGCGTTTCATAACCCAAAGGTTTATTAAAGTGTTATTCTGCAATTAATGATGCCTGTCCTCTATCTCTAAAGAAACAGACACATAATAGGTAGGTTTGGAAAGAGCAGTTCCTTCCTATGTTGATATTTTTTTTAGGAAAAAAAATAAAAAGAACTAGAGCCATAAGCAAAGAGTAAATAAATGGAAAGAAAGAAGAATGGAGGGAGGGGGAAGGAAATAAGAGGGGGAGGGAGAAAGCCTCCTTAGATGCTGGCTTTTCAAACCATTAGCTGTCAGCTTAGTTACAACTCCTTAAAGCCCCGGTTCCCTCATCTTCTTGGGGACAGATTACAAAAAAAGAAAAACTTCATCCCTGAGAAGTGCAAATTCTCTATGAGACCTTTGAGGTATCTGAATAAGGTTAAAAAGAATGTATCTATCTAAAAACTCCTTAATTCCTCCAAGACGTGGAGTGTTCGCTACACCAGGTGGCTGGTTGTACCCGATACAGTGGCATAGACCTCACAGTTAACTGTTCCTCATCGTGAGTAATTTTCTTTTAAATTAAGAATTTAAGGCGTGCAATGATCCAATTGCGATGACTTTCTCTTAAAGATAATATCCCTTAAAATGGCATTACAAATTAGGAATCTAATTTGTAGCAATATTTTTAAAAATTAAACTTCTACACTCAAAATTAGCATCTTCTTACATTAAACTATCAAATGTGACTCAGCTTAATCTTGGCTCACTGGTTTACATTATTATCCCGAATCTTTAGATCTGTAATTTCTTAGTAGTACCATTTCTTTGAGGCTCCATAGATTTATATGTTTAAGAAAAGAATGAAAGGAAAAGGGAAGTGAAGGAAAGGGAAGCGAAGAGAAGGGAAAGGAAGGGTGAGAGGAGAAAAAAAGAAGAAAAGGAAAATAAATGGAAAGAGAAAAGAAAAAGCAGAAAAGAAAGGAGAAACAAAAAGAAAAGAAAAAAGCCTCTTGATTTAGTAGGGTGCTATGTTACTTCTGCTTCCAAGTCCTACCAATTAGCTCCAGCACATGGTTTTTCTTGGCAGCTTTCTGCTTCCCATCCCAGATGGTATGGAAAAGTCTGGCTGCTGACTTTCTGGCTCTTCATTCCTACTTCCTCTCCACATAGCTAATTTAAGAAAGTCTACACGATACCAGGACAACTGTCGGCCCTGCCTCATTTCCCCTGCCTCTGCCTTCTTCAGCCACCCACAGCCACAGCTGCGGCTGCCCCCCTCTAGCACCTGAGCCTGATTTGACAGCAACAGGAAATAAATCAGCATCCTCGGCCACATGGCGTGGAATTCAGCTGCACCCCCTTCCCCATGAGGATCGAGTGACCCATATATACTTCTGGGCTCCGGCAAGCTCCAGCTGCCCATGGGCATTTTCTCGGCTGCCAACCATATCTGGGTGCTAGTCAACGAGGCAAGACCTACAAGCTTTCATACTGAGCATGCCTCGCCCTTCCAGTGTGGGTCCACTCCATGGACCTAGGCTACTACCTGGGCCTGATTAGCTCCTCCACCACTCTAGGCAGGGCAGTCCTAGTATCTACTGTTCATAGCCATATCCTGGTTCTTCCCACCTCGCCCCATGGAGGGACCACTCATTTCTCAATGCCTATCGAGGATAGGCAGGATTTAACAGGCCACATATGTGGACCCCATTATGATTATAGGCCCTACTGGGGCCAGCATCTCTGCCTGGACATACTCCTAATCCACATGCTCACTTCCTGCACTTGGCTTTCGGAACGCATGTGGAGGCAATGAGACAGGAACTCCCTACTGATGGCTGATGTGACAGAACCCCACTGCTGCCAGGGAACAGCCAGGCACCCTGCGGTTGCTGGGTACTCAGGAACTCAGCTGTAATTGGGCCAGGAGTAGAACCTGCTCAGGTCAAAGGAGCCTTTGTGAAATTCAGCTCTGACCCATCACTCCCCTGCTCCATGATTTCTGATGCTTTCTTATTGCCTGCAAAATAGCTTGACCCACAAATTCCCTTACAATCTGGGATCATGGTTTTCCAGCTTCACTTCCCAATGCACCCCTATACAAGTCCTTCCTCTAACCACCCAGAGACTAGCAACTATTCCTTGCACACACCAGGAACTTCAGTAGCTTTGGGCCCTTGTCCATCTCTGTGTACTCCCAGAATCCTGTTCCTGTGTCTTAGCACATTTCATTGTAATTAGCTGTTTACCTGCCTGGATTTTTGATGTCCTCAAAGACACATTCAGTCTCTTAATCATCTTTCCATTGCCAATCTCTGCAAAGTAGTGGGAACACTGTAAGCCTTCAATGCATATTTGTTTTTAAAAAGTTGGTCCAGAAAGTTGATGACCCATATCAAAGATGAGGGCTTAGGGTGTGAACCATGGTCAGGAATGAACAAGGAGACACAAGTTCAGAAAGTCATAATGAAGCTGCAGAAATCACGAAGGGCTTCATCAAGAAAATCACATTTGCATTGTGCCCTGGAGGACGATGAGATTTCAGCAGGTAGAGATGTGGAGGGTATTCCTGTGGTAGAACCCCTTAAGGAAAAGCAGAGAAGTGGGAAGGTACAGAGAATGTTCAGGAAGAGTGGATACAGTTTTCCTAGAACAGAGACTAAGTGAAGGTGGGGTGGAGCAGGTGCTGGGAAGGCAGCAGGGGCCAGATCATTGCAAGTGGCAACGCCAGCCTCAGCGCCATGGGTGTTTTCAGATGCTGTGGTAAGCCATGGGAGGCGGTCTATGCGAAGGGGTTGGGGAGTGATGTAATGATTGAGGTTGGGCTGTCACTTCTGCCTTTGCCAGGAAAGTTATTAGAGTGAGGTTGCTAATGTGGCAGTTGTGAGGGGTGAGCTCACTGACGCAAGAGTGAATTAAACATTCGGGATGGGCCCGGGAAGCCACCTTCACTATCATTCATTGCCAAACCCTAAACGGGGCCACAGATCTGACTGCTTCAGTTTCACTTATTGGTGTCATTTAGATACTGTCTGATAGAGGAAGTAGAGGAAAATGTTTCAAAAGCTGAAAGACCTAGACAATGGCTATGCCTTAGTCTTGGCAGCAAATGCAAGCGAACCCAAAGATGGGCAGGATGTCATCAAGTTAGTCCTCAGTGTGAGTAGAAAGGCTGTGCTCAGGCTGCTGGGGCTGCGGTGCACACCTTAGCAGGGACCCGAGGGCTGAGCTTTCAAAGGCCCCTCTTCCGGAGGCTGAGGATCAGTCTGTCCTACAGCTCTACACTTCCAGCCTCTGCATCACTCCTGTCAGTGTCTGCAGAAACCTCAGGGAAAGGAAGAGCTTGGGCTCCTGTAAAAAAAAAGCACTCACTGAGAGGCAGAGGGCTCGCAAATAGGGCTGCTGCCTACTTTGTTCTTCTAACTCCTTCCCTTCCCCACCCTTCATTGTTTTTCTTCCCTTAGTTCAGTCTCAGATATGATTGTGAATGCAGAGCTCCAAACAATGCCCTTTTCAAGTGATTTGCCTCAGCCTGGAGCATCCAGGGAAGAGCAGATCCCCATCCCACCACTCAACAGCTCCCCTACTTTCCCCAAGCCCCACTCACCACAGCTGTTAGCAATGCGGTCCCCATGGCCTCCCATCTAAGGCCTATACCTCCTCTGCAGATCAGACTGAGAGCTCCTGCAGGCAGGAGCTGGGCAGGCTTGTTTTCTGGGCTCCCCACTCCTGATTAGTATGGTCTTCAGGCACTGGTGGTCCAGTTTTATGGACCAGGGTGAGATGCAGGCAGAAGTGTGCAGGTATTTGCATAAAGCTCTGCACATAGAACACTCAGCACCGCTGTTTTGGGATCTAGGACAAAGCCTGCCCCACCGTGTACAGCCCCAGGGAGCAAAATGGCAGCGTGGTGCTCCACTCTATCCCGGTTTTATTCTCAGCTGGGTTCTGAAGCCCCAGCTGCAGCCAGTTTGATATGATTGAAGCAGAGCTTCAGGGAGGAGAAAGGAGGCAGAGGACTAAATATCCCATAATATTTCTTCCATTAAAGTCTTTCAATGAGGGAAAAAATCAACAAAATGGTTTTTCCATTTTGAAAAAGAAAAAGACAAAGACAAACCCAGCAGGAGATTGAGAAAATGAATGAAAGGCTTATTAAGCAGGGAAGTATTTTGTTTACTTCCTGCAGGCTGCATTCCACAATTACTACCTTTCTTCTATTAACAAAAATCACGGCCAAATGATGGGATAAATTGTCTGCCTGAGCCTCGTAAGGATTTACTGAGGCAAAACCTCAAAAAAAGAGCATGTGGCGGGGTGCTGCTTCTTCCAGCAACACTGTAGGTGGCAGGTGATTCCAAGGGCTATGCTGATCCCACTGCCCAAGATAAAGCATTTGGGACATTACAGCCTCCCTCCATCGAAACTAAAATAATGAAGACTGATGAAAAAACAACAGCAACAACAACACTGTATTTTGACCCTTAAGAGCCAAGGAGGTGCCGGGCACGGTGGCTCATGCCTGTAATCCCAGCACTTTGGGAGGCCGAGGTGGGTGGATCACCTGAGGTCAAGAATTGGAGGCCAGCCTGGCCAACATGGTGAAACCCCATCTCTACTAAAACTACAAAAATTAGCTGAGCATGGTGGCAGGTGCCCGCAATCTCAGCTACTCAGGAGGCTGAGGCAGGAGAATTGTTTGAACCTGGGAGGTAGAGGTTACAGTGAGCCGAGATCATGCCACTGTACTCCAGCCTGGGTGACAGAGCAAGACTCCGTCTTCAAAAAAAAAAAAAGAACCAAAGAGGGATGCCTACCTTGTGAGCAGTAAGGCCACACTGGCTCTGCCATTCTGAAGCCAGGAGCTCCTGGGGCCACACCCTGAGGACGGCCCATCCTGGGTGCTAGAACAAGAGAAGCGGACCCTCCGCAAGGTCTGCCATTCACTGCACTACCCGATTCAATCCTCGCTCCAGTCCATTCTCACACTGCTATACAGATACTACCAGAGACTAGGTGATTTTTAAAGAGAAGAGGTTTAATTGACTTACAGTGCCACATGGCTGGGGAGGCCTCAGGAAACTTAAAATCGTAGCAGAAGGTGAAGGGGAAGCAAGGCACATCTTACATGGCAGCAGGAGAGAGACAGCATAGGGGAAGCTGCCACTTTTAAACCATCAGATTTCGTGAGAATTCCCTCACTATCACAAGAACAGCACAGGCGAAACTGCCCCCATGACCCAATCACCTCCCACCAGGTCCCTCCCTCCAAACGTGGGGATTCCAATTCGAGATGAGATTTGGGTGGGAACACAGAGTCAAACCATATCAATGATTATCTCCATTCTTCAGATAAGAAAACAGAAGTCCAGAGAGGTTAAGTAACCTATCCAAGCTCACACAGCTAGTAGAATTTGAAGTCAGGCCTGTCTGAGACCAAGGCTTGAGGCTCTGACTTTTTGAAGCCCCGCCAGTTGCTCACTTCAGGGTGAGGGACCAAGGGGAGGAATATCACAAGCTGGAGCCTAAGTATTGGGGGAAAGCATGGACACAAACCATATCCTACCCACAATTCCAGAGATATCCGAACCCAAACCCCACCTCTCCCAGAACTCTCAGGAATGATCCCACATCCTATAGATCCATCCAGCCATGGATAAGCTTTTGCCCCAATATTCTGGATTATTACAAATATAAAACAGAAACATCAGGCCTCATGAATAGCAGCTAAGACAACAAAATTAATCTTCATGGCCTCTTCCTTTCCCTCCTTTTTGGTCTGTATTGGAACGAGCAGGAGGAAAGGCAAGCATATTTACTAATGATGGTGTGTTTCTTCACCTACTCTATTATTCTGTATTCAGCTACCTGGAAGGTTAAAGGGGTGAGAAATGTCAGGGACAAAGTAAGTATAAGAGGATGGCATTTTCAAATGTCTAATCATTTTTGAAAACCAGTTGCAATGTCCAGTGCATAGACCTACATGCCTTTGCTACACTGCACCACACACTCCATTCCCGGGAACCTCTACCCAGAGACTGGCAAAGCTTGGTCTCAGCTTGGTGACCTGCTGGGCTGCCCCAAGAGGGAGAAACACCTTCTCCCACATTGCACAAAATACTCACTGTTAATGGGGTGCCCAATTTGACACAAAGGATTTATGTAAGAAATCAGACTTAACGGCTGGGTATGGTGGCTTATGCCTGTAATCCCAGCAGTTTAGGAGGCCGAGATGGGCAGATTGCTTGAGCTTAGGAGTTCAAGACCAGCCTGGGCAACATAGCGAAACCCCATCTTAAAAAAAAAAAAAAATACAAAAGATTAGCTGGGTGTGATGGTGTGTGCCTGTGGTCCCTGCTACTTAGGGGGCTAAGATAGGAGGATCACTGAAGCCCAGGAGGTGGAGGCTGCAGTGAGCTGTGATTGTGCCACTGTACTCCAGCCTGGGTGACAGAGTGAGAGAGGAAGGAAGGAAGGAAGGAAGGAGGGAGGGAGGGAGGGGGAGGGGAGGGAAGAAGGGAGGGAGGGGAGGGAAGGGAGGGAAGGGGAGGGGAAGGTTAACTAACACAAGGTCTCACACTTAGCATTTTTGTTTTCGTTGGTCGAAGGAGTAATGAAACCTGGTTTCCTCATTTGTGTGATTAAACCCTAGCAAAACTTCTTTGTAATCTGTCTCCTGTATGACTTTCCAAAAGCTTTGAGAGAAGGCTCCAATGACGCCAAACCTTTCATCAAATGTCTTGGGCATTGGTTACACAGTGCTTGGCAGGCTTTGTTCGGCAGGGTGGGTGGGAAGACAAACAGTGGCTTCTCCTTCCTGGGGGCAGTGGAGTGTCAGGATGGCTCAGTAGCTGGCTGTACTTCCACCAAAGACCAAAGCCATAAAAAGTCACCTTGCCTCTGTATGCCATTCATCCCAAATAAGAAAACACAGACTCTGGGAAAACCAACTACAGAAAAGCTCTCCGAATGCACAGAACCAAGCAACATACCTCCTTCTGAGCAGCCATGTCTTATCTGGTGGTAAGCTCAGCTGCTCCTGCAGTCCTGCACGCTGCCTCTGCTTCTTTCCAGTGAAAACATACTAGGACACAGTGATGCTCTCTCCCTGCTATACATTCAAAAAATTAAAAGAGCACCAAAGAAAGGAGAATTTTGGAAAGGAAGTAAGCAGCTGTCAGAATAAATTTATATGAGACAAACACTCAAATATTGATCTACTCCCAAGATTTCCAAAACCTATCTATAAGCCTGCAGTTGAATTGCTTGTGAAAGCTTTTTGCACAAATAAGCGCTGAGTAGGAATGTCAGTTGGCAGTAGAAAAAGATCCTTAAGAGACAAATGATGATCTACAGATAGACAGAAATAATTCACAGCACTATTTTTATTAGAACTTACCCTATGCAGCCCTCCTTGAGTCAGCTGGTGAGGAAGTGGATTGCAGTATTCATTTGTGGCAGACATACACTTTTGGTTTGCACTGCATGACCTTTTTTTTGGGAAATGCCCCTCTCCACCCTCTGTGATTTCCTGGAGCTGTTGTTCCTGGGACTTTACCCTCTATGTCCAGCAGTGAGCACAGACTGCATCCTTGTTGTCTAAGGGAGGCAGCTTCTGAGTGTGCCCCACAGGGGTCCTGCCTCCTCGCATTCACACGCTCATGGAGCCCCTGCCTACAATTGACCACAGCTGCTCTAAAGTGACCAATAATGGCAGAAAGGATGGTATGTCATTTTCAAGGTTAGGTTTTACAAGACTGCAGCTCTACAATGGGTTCTCCTTGTCTCTTCTCTTTCCCTCTTGGATATGCCATTCTGGAAAATGCCAGCTGCCATTTGAAGAGGACACTCAGACAGCCTGTGAAGAGGCCACATGGCAAGGTGCCCTACAGCCAGTGAGGAACTGAGGCCTGAAAGCAGCCATGTCGGTGAGTGTGGACGAGATCCTCCAGCCCCCATTGAGCCTTGAGAAGAAGCCCTGGCCAACAGCTTGACTGCAGCCTCATAAGAGGCCCTGAGCCAGAATCACCCAACTAAGCTGCTCACAGATTCCTGACCAGAGAAATTGGTTTAGGTTATACATATTTGAAGTTGCTAAGTTTTGGAGTAATTTGCTCAGGAGCAATAACTATACATTGACCAATCACACTCTGGCAAAGCCCTTTACACATTAAAGACTGTGACTGGCTCAGGGGTGGAAACATAAGCCCAGCAGAGCTCATCAGAATCCTTTTCAGGAACTGATATAGACACTAGGTGATAGAGAATCAGGCCATCTTCTCTGGGATCACAACCGTGGGTATAAAGTCAGCCTAGAGTTGTGGCTCTCAATTAGAGGCCATACTGCCTCCCTAAGGGGCATTTGGAAATGTGGGGGACGTATTTAGTCCCAATGTATGAAGGTGCTGCTAGCATTTGATACCCGGAAGCCAGGGATGCTATATATCCTGCAATGTATGGGACAGTCCCACATAACAAAAAGTATCCACTCCACATGTCGTTAGCATTCACAATGGGAAACCCTGGCATAGGACCTTCTGTGGCTTTATTATTAGTCCATATGGAGAGAACTTTCATGAGAATGACACAAATCTAGGTGACAGAAGAACCAAGACACACTGAAAGATCAAGCCCCCATGATAGAATTTGAATCCCTGCATAGTCATGCCTGAAGCTAGAACTACCCTTAGAATGTCCCAATTTTCACATGAGCCCATATATTTTCTCTCATGCTTAAAACCAGTTAAATTGGTGTAATGGACTGAATGTTTATTCCTCCCCAAATTCGTATGTTGAAATCCCAACGCTCACAGTAATGGCATTAGAGCATTAGAAGGCCCTTTGGGAGGTGATTAGGTCATGACATTGGAGCCCTCAGGAATGGGATTCATGCCCCTATAAAAGGGGTTCCAGAGAGTTCCTTGCCTTTTCCCCCACAATGGTATGTATGGTGGAGGTTATCATCTATGGACCACGGAGGTAGCCTTCCTTAGATGCCAAACCTGCTAGCACTTTGACCCTGGACTCCTAACCCTCCGGAACCACGAAAAATGTTTACAAGCTACCCACTCTGTTACTTTATCATAGAAGCCCCAGAGCCATAACTATTTTACCATCCAACTGCGTGTAGAATTAGTAGGTCCTTGATCTCACCGACTTCAAGAATAAAACCAGATCCTCAGTAAGTATTAGTTTTTAGAGGCAGCGTGCTCAGCATTTAGTTTTTACTAACGTTCGCATGTGTTCAGAGTTTTTTCTTTTTCTATGGGTTCATGATCTTGCTGGTGTTAACAATGAAGCTTCAAACTTTCCCAGTGCTACAGCTCAATAAAGGTAGTATAGACCTAAAACGTGAACACCAGCAAAACTTATTGCACAGCAAAAGAACTAAAGCTTCCACAACACGAAACAACACGTAAAGCAGATTGCCACTGCTTGCTCTGGCAGCCTGCTTTTATTCTCCTATCTGGCCCCACCCACATCCTGCTGATTGGCCCATTTTACAGAGAGCCCATTGGTCTGTTTTACAGAGAGCTGATTGGTCCGTTTTGACAGGGTGCTGATTGGTGCGTTTACAATCCCTGAGCTAGACACAAAAGTTCTCCACCTCCCCGCTAGATTAGCTGGGTAACAGAGTGTGGACTGGTGCATTCACAAATCCTGAGCTAGACATAGAGTGCTGGTTGGTGTGTTTACAAACCTTGAGCTAGATACAGAGTGTCGATTGGTGTATTTACAATCCCTTAGCTAGACATAAAGATTTTCCAAGTCCCCACCAGACTCAGGAGCCCAGCTGGTTTCACTCTGTGGATCTCGCACTGGGGCCGCAGGTGGAGCTGCCTGTTAGTCCCGAGCTCTGCGCACGCGCTCCTCAGCCCTTGGGCCGTCAATGGCACTGGCCGCTGTGAAGCAGGGGGCGGCGCTCATCAGGGAGGCTCAGGCCACGCAGGAGCCCACGGCGGGGGGTGGGGGGAGGCTCAGGCATGGGGGTGCTGCAGGTCCGGAGCTGTGCCCCGCGGGGAGGCAGCTAAGGCCCAGCGAGAAATTGAGCACAGCAGCTGCTGGTCCAGGTGCTAAGCCCCTCACTTCCCGGGGCTTGCGGGCCGGCCGGCCGCTCCGAGTGCGGGGCCCGCCGAGCCCACCCCCACCCGGAACTCGTGCTGGCCTGCAAGGGCCGCGCGCAGCCCCGGTTCCCGCCCGCGCCTCTCCCTCCACACCTCCCTGCAAGCTGACGGAGCCGGCTCTGGCCTTGGCCAGCCCAGAAAAGGGCTCCCACAGTGGAGCGGTGGGCTGAAGGGCTCCTCAAGCACGGCCAGAGTGGGCGCCAAGGCCAAGGAGGCGCCGAGAGCGAGCGAGAGCTGTGAGGGCTGCCAGGGCTGCCAGCATGCTGTCACTTCTCACAACCATCCATTCATTCAAACAATGTTTATTGAGCCTTGACTATGTGTAAGGCGCTGGTTTATGTCCTGAGGATACATAGTTAAAAAAGACATTCCAGAATGACAAAGAATTAACTAGCAATTACAATACAAGATACATACTCTCCCCGCTGCCCTTTAATGCTATGGAAATACAAAAGAGGAACATCAGCTCAGTCTAATGGTAGGAGGTAGTCAGGGAAGATCTCAGATTTAAAAAAAAAGGAAATTGATAACTTATAAAAGATTGTCCAGAAATGCCAGCAAAAAGAGTAGAGGAGTCTTGTTTGTTAAACAAGTGACTCGTTGCCCAGGCCAAAGCTTTTAATATATACTACTTCTGGCTATTGAGACTGAGATCACAGTGATTCAAGAATCACAGGCTATTTGGGAAAACACAGATTAATAAGACAAAGAGGCATTGATCCAATAAACTGTCCCTTATAAAGCACTCGGGTCATTTTCTTTCTCTACTTCCTTATGATCTCTAGTATTTCATCACAAGAAATAAGTCTCTATTATGAAAGGAACTCTGCTTTTTAAAAGTGATGAGGGAGGAAGATATTTTTCCCCCAACCAGACTCAGGTCAGAGCAGTCAAAATCATTTTCGTTTGCTCCTAACATTTTTACATCTCCTTCACCAGTACACAGAGTTACAGGAGGGGAACTCCACACTATTAATCAGTGCTGTTGCAATCACACTATTTCATAGCACCAGAAAGGATATAAACAGTCCTCTGTGTCAGGGAGGCTCTCAGTCTCCAGTGAGCACTGGGGTCTAGGGTATACGTGGAGAAAGGAGTAGCCACTGAATTTCTTTCCAGATATCTCTAAACATTTCCCAACTAGCTCCCCTAACCCTGAAATTCACACGCCATCAATCAATCACATTATAATATCGACTAAGGCATTATTCCAGGCATATAGGAAAACAGAGGGAAAGAGACACAGTCCTTGTTCTCAAGGAAGCTACAATCTAATTAAGGAGACACTCAAGAAGTGACAAGAATTCACTGTCACAGAGCTGGCTGAACTGCAACAGAAGACTGAATAGGAGGCGGTTCACAGATACCTGCCTGGGCCCTGCGCTGGGCCTGCAGAATGGGTAGTGTTTGATCAAGAAGACAGAAGGAAGAATGCTTTCTTTAATGGAAGTGAATAGAATTCCTTAATAGAATGAGCAGAGCCTGGAGGGAGCCGGCCGAAGCAGCCAGACTGACAGGCCAGAGGGCGAGTGCTGAAAAACAGAATCCGGGAAGTGGGGTGAGCCGGACTGGGGACGCAGGGAAAGGCTGGTGTCCAGCTAGCAATCCGTTGATCCCTTGCCTCTCGGCCCCAAATCTGCTCTGTGACAAGAGTTCGGGCGTTTCTCCTTTGCACCAAACACAATATTCAGCTTTGTCAGTAGCGTGCTCTGAGTCTATGCAGGAGGAAGGGGCTTCTCCTCCTGGGTCTGGCTTGCTACTGTCTTCTCCTGCCTCCAGCTGTATGGCTCTTATCACTGCCCCAGCCATGTGCCGAGTGTGCAGTCTTCAGGCTCATGGCCCAGCCCCACCTCTTGGCCACCCATGGTGACCACCTCACCACGATGTTCCTAATGCAGGCCTGGCATGCCCCAGTCTTCACTACCCTGCTGGAGAGCAGGCCCCTGACGCCTGCAGCCCTCCATGCACTCTTGCACCAGCCTTAGCCTCTACCCAAGACTGTTGATTTCTCCTTGTCCAGTAACCATGGGCAACCCAGGGAACCTTTCTGCCACTCAGTGGGCTACAACCACACCTCTGATGCAGTCCGGATTCCGGATCTCAGCCTTGAAGAGGGGTCTTCTTTAAACTTGTCCTTCCCCAGATGCTCTCCATCAGCCTCAGGGTCACCTTCAGAGTTTTCTTTACATCTTCTTATCACTTCACTGTTACAGTTAAGTAATCTTTATATTAAACATCCCACATTCAAATTACTGTGTGGTTTCTGTTCCCTGATTGGACCCTGAATGACACGGCCAGGTAGAGAAATCCAGATGATGTGGTAAAGGGGCCAGGCAAGTGGAGGTGTGGATGTGTGTGCTAAAGGCTGGAGTGGAGGTGCTGGACTAGGAGAGCAACAGGTGCCAGAGCTGTTTTGTTCCTGGTCTATCTAATAATCTCAGGAAAATGAAGAAGAGTGGGAGGGATGAGAAAAGGAGAGGAGGAGAGAGAGCAGAGGAATGGAGGAAGAGCAAGAACCACAGTCATGGAGATCTTCTTCATCCAGCGTCCCAGCCACCCGTCCATCCGTCACTGGCTCTCAGGAGATGTTTCTGATCCTGCTGACTCCGAGCCTGAGAGCCAGCACAGTGATGCGTTTGAGAATGATGAGCCTGGGAGGAGCTTGGGGAATGGACTGGAGTGAGTGGCTGACATGGTCTGAATGTGTTCCCCAAAGTTTATGTGTTGGAAACTTAATCCCCAATGCAACAGTGTCAGGAGGTGGGGCCCAATGGAGGTTGCGAGGGCTCCACCCTCATGACTGGATCAATGCTGCTATAAAAAGAGCTTGGAGGAGTGGGCTCACTCTCTCACTCTTCTACCATGTGAGGACACAACATTCGTCACCTCTTACCCTTCCACCTTCCACTATGTGAGGACACAGCAAAATGGTCCCCACCAGATATCAACACCTTGATCTTGGATTTATCCCATCCTTGAGAACTGTGGGTACATAAATTTCTGTTCTTTATAAATTAGCCAGTCTGTGATGGTTTATTATAGCAGCACAAAATGGACTAAGATAGTGGCAAATAGGTGGAGGAAAAAATGCAGAAGTGAGGTTGACTGTCTGTGGGACCAGACAGTCCAAAGGAAGAATGGACAGGGATTGGTAACAGGCTAGGTCTAAATAACAAAGGATTCTGGGAACAAACAAGCAAACCAAAGAAGTAGATATTTCCAGGAAACCTCCCTTAAGAAAAGAGGAAAGGAGAGGATTGGCCTCTCCCATGCGTGCATTCCTTGGCTAAGTCATTGGCCTTTCTCATCTCAGTTTCTGTACATACACAGTAGGGATACTAACACCTGCTGCAAAGGATGGTCTTGGGATTAAATGGAATGCATTTGGTACTACATCTGGAACTTGGAAATTCTCATCGTGTTGGAAAGTGGAGAGAGAAGGCTGGGAGTCCCAGTGGGTGAGCTTAGATCCCGGTGTGGGGCATGTGAGGTTGGGAGGGGCTGCCAACATGAACAGGGCCCCTCACATTCTGGGAAATGAAGAAGCAGCAGGACAGCATCTGGCTCCTAACGCAGGGCAGGAGAATTCCTTGAGTGAAGAGAAGAATTCAAAAAGAAAGAGGGAGGAAATCACACCTTCTCATAACTTTGCTGGAACTAGGGCTTTTAAATTTTAAACTAATCATTGTGTCACATTTATTGATGTTCCTCACTGGTTTCAGCAGGGCAGGTATGTATTGGGCCATTTAAAGTGTATGAGTAGGCTGGGCATGGTGGCTCATGCCTGTAATCCCAGCACTTTGGGAGGCCAAGGCAGGCGGATCACCTGAGGTCAGGAGTTCAAGACCAGCCTGGCCAACATGGTGAAACCCCATCTCTACTAAAAATACAAAAATTAGCTGGGTGTGGTGGTGGCCACCTGTAATCCCAGCTACCTGGGAGGCTGAAGCAGGAGAATCACTTGAACCCGGGAGGCAGATGTTGCAGTGAGCTGAGATGGCGCCACTGTACTCTAGCCTGGGCGACAAGAGCAAGACTCCATCTAAATAAATAAATAAAATAAAATATATGAGTATATTTTTTTCTTGGAACTGACATTCCATGAATACATTTTTAAATGGATAATCTGCCTTATGCAGGTACATCAGAGGTCCCCCCTTGCTCTGTGGGTACATCAAAAAGTCAGGAGAAAATGCATGTATTACCTTTGTAAGGGACCTTCCCACCTCTAATTTTTTTAAACCTCTGATCTTAGAAAATCCTCTAAAGGTTAATTAAAGCTTTACTTTCTAGCCTCTGGTGTATTGTGCTAAATTTATTTGTTGGTGTGGATGTCAACAGCAACTGATATTTGTGAATAGCTTATGCAATATCAAAGAGTTGAGTAAAAGAAGAGAAAAAACCCTCAAGTACTATATGTCAGGGCTGAATAATTGCCTCACCTTCAATGCTTATTAAAGTAATCTAATTCTACATAAGAAGTACTTTATTAAAAGGCTATAGGTAAATAAATACATTCAAATTATGCAAAATTTCCATTTAAATAAAGCACTTCAGTATTATTCATATTTGTTTATTAGAATACGATTGTGAATTGGTTGGGTCAAGAGTAATTGACAAATATAATGTGATAAAAATGGTTTTATCTTAAAAGTCTGATGAAACCTCTCTCTCACACACACACCTACACACACACACACACACACACACACACACTGCCACCACCACCACCACCTGCCTTCTGATGGGAGGCAGAGCAGACCCATTCATCATACTCCATTATATACATTAACAAAAATGGCCAATATATTGGTTAAAAGCTTTAATCTCTTGAACCAGAATTCTGACCTTTATTCAGATTCTAGATCCAATGATGAAGATGAGGAAGAGGATGATAACAATAATAATTTTTCAAAGGTTTAAAAGCAAAACCAGAATTTTTGGGAAGATGCACTCTTAGAATGATTTTCCCTTTGAGAGATAGCCCAATTCAAATTTACTCTAAAAAGAACACCTAATTTCCCAGGAAGAGGTTTATGCTAACTAGAGCCAACACCTTTGGATTATCAATAATTCGTTACCCTTAAAAACAAATTTCATTAAATTCCTTCTCCGTCGTTCTGAACTCTCTGCTTCTATTAATTACTTAACGATTGTGCAGTGTATTAGGGACCCCCTTGGAAACAACAGAAGGAATGCAAGAGCCATTTAGCACTTGCTTGCTTGGCTTCTACAGCAGTAGATGAAGTACTTCCCTACAGCAGTGTAGGGAAGTGGAACTCAGCTTAGTGGTGTTGTTGGGAAATCAGGGCTTGGCACCTCTTGCAGGCAACTCTTCCAGCAGGCACCATGTTCCAATGATTCCACCATCCCTGCCCAGTCTCCAATTTGGGCCCTGGAGTCTGCTCTGTCAAACTCCATCTGTAATCACCATGTCCTAAGGCTATGTCACCCTTGTTCCCAGGTTGGGATTTGTCCTGTGTACCCAGCCTACCCCCTGGACTCATGCAGCAAACCACAGCAGGCTGAATGCATGACCGGTAAATAATGCGTGCTTTCAAACTGGTCCAATGGCTAATTTAATGTGTCAACTTGATTGGGCTAAGGGATGCCCAGATAGCTGGTCAAACATTCTTTCTGGGTATGACTGTGAGGGTTTCCAGCAGAGACTAGCATTTGAATCAGCAGATTGAGTAAAGAAGATCACCCTCCTCAGTGTGGAAGGGCATTATCCAATCCTTTGATGGCCTGCATAGAACAAAAAGACAGAGGAGAGGCTAACTCACTTTCTCCTTTTGAGCTGGGACATCCATCTTCTCCTGTCCTCCGACACTGGCACTCCTGGTTCTCAGGCCTTCAGAGTCTATCTGAGACTTACACTAGCAGGCTCCCACACCACTCCTGTTTCTCAGCTCTTTGGACTTGGACCAGGACTGATATGCTTTGGCTGTGTCCCCACCCAAATCTCATCTTGAATTGTAGCTCCCATAATTGCCACATGTTGTGGGAGGGACCCAGTGGGAGATAACTGAATCATGGGGGGTGGTTTCCCCCATACCATTCTCATGGTAGTGAATAAATCTCATGAGATCTCATGGTTTTATAAGAGGTTTCTGCTTTCACTTTGCTCTCATTCTCTCTCTTGCCTGCTGCCATGTTAAACACGTCTTTCACCTTCTGCCATGATTGTGAGGTCTCCCCAGCCACGTGGAACTGTGAGTCCATTAAACCTCTTTTTTTTTTTTTTATAATTTACCAAGTCTCAGGTATGTCTTTATCAGCAGCATGAAAACAGACAAATACAAGGACTTACATCACCAGCTTCCCTGGTTCTCAGACTTACAGACTGAGACTGAAGTACCCCCACTGGCTTTTCTGGTTCTCCAGCTTGCAGATAGCACATCATGGAACTTCTTAGCTTCCACGGTCCCATGAGGCAATTCCCATGATAAATCTCCTCTCTCTCTCTCTCTCTGTGTGTGTGTGTGTGTGTGTGTGTGTGTGTGTGTGTGTGTGTGTCCTATTGGTTCTGTTTCTCTGAAGAACTTTGACTCTCTGACTAATATAGCTGGGTAATTGGATAGGCTAAACCCACCATTAGCCACCTCCCTGTCCATGAGTGAATCTGAGACCCTATAAAAATGGGTAAATAGATACCCTGTGGAGAGAGGAGAGAAGACATAAGAAGAATCAACTATAAGTGGGGAGAAAGTCAAAAGAAATCATAACTGAGTCTTGTCTGTCAAGATTTATCACCTTAAGGCACAGTGGCTCACACCTATAATTCCCATAGTTTGGGAGGCTGAGGAGGGAGGATCACTTGAGCCCAGGAGTTGGAGACCAGCCTGGGCAACATAGTGAGACCCTGTCTCTACAAAATATTTTTTTAAAAAAGCTGGGTATGGTGGTGCATGCCTATAGGCCCAGCTACTTCAGAGGCTGAAGTAGCTACTTCAGAGGCTGAGCATGGGAGGTCGAGGCTGCAGTGAGCACTGCACCCCAGCCTGGGTAACACAGAAAAACCCCATCTTAAAAAAAGAAAGAAAGAACAGATTTATGACCCTAGACTCTGATTGGATGGAATGCTAAAGGTTACTGTATTAGCTGAGGTAACTGCTAGCTGCTAAAACAAGTAAATACAGAAAGCTCAGTGATTTCACAAAATAAGAGTTTAAAACTGCAAGGGAGTTTGGGAAGGGTGATCTAGTTGATGCCCAATAAGAAGAGAAAACAGCAATGAGCCAAGCTCAACCACAGTTTCCTAGTACAACCTTTCACACTTCCCCTTAACATCTACACAAGTGTTACATACCTACCCTTGAACACCTCCAGTGATGAGCACCTCATCCCCAGCTGGCAACCATGGAGCATACTCAGGGCCCAAACAAATGAGCAAGTGGAAAATCTGACACTTGGGCAGGTCCTGCCAGGGACTAAATGGCTCTCCTCATCCTGTATTAGAAGACACACACCAACCAGGGCTTAATTCTAAACTGATTCCAGCATTATTGGAAATGCAGGCTCTACAATCATAAGACAACTGGAAACTTTGAAAGTCTGCCCAACAAGCTTCTGGAATAGAGCGACAGAGATTCAATAGTGGTAATGACTTAGAATGTTTGTTGAGTATCTAAGACTGAGTAAATAGTGGCAGGTCATTGTTAAAAATCATTGCATAATCAGTTATTCTCTACTCATTTGGTTGACAGGGGTGTTGGGATGTTTTGTAACCTGTGAAACTCTATATACAGGTAAGAAACTGTTAATGTTCATTTACACTAACAGATAAGTATTAATTCAAATATTTCGCACAATAAGTTTTTAGTGTCATCGCTATTCCTTGAGAACACTGAAGAAAGAAGTGCAACACACACACACCCTGTGTGTCCTATTTATTACTTCTATGGACATGTATTTCTGCCCCTTTAGGTGTTTTGTGTGCTATACATCAGTCTTAAGCACACACACACAAATGCTGATTCCTCATACCGGTCACAATAGTTCAGTGTAATTGTACAGTGATGCCTGGCCCCTTGTTCAGAGCCAGGTTGATCTGTAATAGAAGATGTGGTAATTCCTGATGACATCTGCAGGTTGTCAAACACTAGCAAATAGTAAAACACTGTGAAAGGACATGAGGAGAGATTTTTAACTATTAATAATTGGTTGTGGGTAGCAAGAAATAAAAATGGAATGAAGGGCTTTGGTGTAAAGAGGGCAGAGTGTACTAGCCAGAACCTATTCTCATAAGATGCTTTTTTCTGTCCTAAATTCAGGGTAGTCTCTAAACCTTGCCCTGCAGAGCCCCATTTTCTAGAGGACATTCAAAGACGGTCAATGTTTTTTGTGAGAGGGCAACAGCAAAGCTTGTATTTGAGTGGACTCTCTGTTCCTGAAGTCTCTGCATGTTTCCATTGTGTGCAGGAGCTTAACCCAGAAAGGCCCAGCAGGGGCTTTGGAAATGCAGCTGATGGCATTTGTGGGGTGCAGACAACAAACTCACACAAGCCCTGAGAGGGGAACAGCAATGGGAGGAGTTAGGATTGGACATGTTGCTGGGGGTAAGCTGTGTCTTCCAGAAGCAGCCAGTAGGACTGACGACAGCCCTGCCAGCAGATGCAGGAAAAGAGCTGAGGCCATCACACTCAAAATTAGCCCATGCTATCTTCCGTAGCACTTAGCAGGTTGTAGAGAGGCAATGATCTTAAGAGTAATGTCATCATGAACATCTCTCGGTGCTACTGATAGATTTTTCTCTCCTCAAAAAATAGATTCCAGCATTTATTTCTCTAGCTTGCAATGCGGTATATTCCATGAAACCAGAAGTGTCTTTAGCATGCTATTGAGGCTGATGGCTACTTCAAAGATCTTGTTAATGCCAGTGTTGTAAGATTCATATTGAGTGCAGAGGCATAAGGGAATGCATTTGTTCTTATCAGACCCACAACAATTTGTAAAATAGGAAAACAGAAAATTTGTTTTCTCGAATGAGCTCAGAGCATTTTAAAGCACTCCCAGGTAGCCTAATAACAGATTCATGAGGCAAGGGAGGTAGAAAGTCACATGTGCAATTTATAAACGGTGAAAGGGGCACTCATAAGAGAGTTGTGCAATAACATAAAACGTGCAATTTATAACATGTGTATAACATATAACATGTATAATTTATAACATACAATATGTGCAATTTATAACATACAGGTGCAATTTATAACATATATGTGCGATTTATAACATACAACATATGCAATGCATAACATATAACATGTGCAATTTATAACATATAACGTGCAATTTATAACATACAACAGTGCGATTTATAACATACAACATATGCAATGCATAACATATAACATGTGCAATTTATAATAACATATAATGTGCAATTTATAAATGGTGAAAGAGAAACCCAAAAAAGACTTCCTACAGCCCTAAGGCATGCTGCACAGAGAAATGGGGACAGCAGCCCAGGGTCCACCACAAATCAGTCCCTAACAAATGTTTTTGAGTGATGATGGAAAATCAGGCCTCTAACACAAGGCTGAGACACTTAACACCCCTCATTTTCTTTTCTGACTCCCTAAACTTTATCTGACTTTATCTCAGAGAGATGACTGAAGGAGCTTGCTATTAAGTAAAAAATGGGCATGGAGCAAACATCCAATTAGAAAAGGACCTTTATGATTATTTTACAGGCAGGGAAACTGAGATAGAGAAGGCCAATGGCTTCCTCTGAACACAGAAGTAGTAAGTGACAGAGCCGGATAAGATCTCAGACTGAATTCCTCTGCCATGCTATCCCCCTGTAGAGACTTAAAGCTCAACCCATCCTTTAAGTCCCCCTTCCACAGAAAACAGACAGGCAAGACTAATCGCTATTTTGGTAAAGTCTGTGTAATAACTGATCAAACTCTGCCAGGAGATCATCTCGCTGACATTTTGATTTCTAGAATGTCAAAACATATAAAGGATCATGAAGTTAAAATTAGATCTCAGGTGGGTTGGAGAAAATTGTCAGGTTTTTTAAAAGAATATAAAAGAAAGAGAAAAAGAAAAAACTTCATCTCTCTCCCATAACAGTAGGAATCACAGTCAGCAGTATACTGTTTTCAATGAGAAGATCAAGGCAGCCACCCTGAAAAAGCTTCCACTGGCTTCCCAGCCACCAACAAAGCATCAGTGTTCTGTGAAGAAAGTTACCAGCAACAGGCTCTGAAAAATGTCTGCAGTGGATGCAGAAAGAGGGAGAGTCCTCAAAATGGAACTTTTTTTTTTTTTTTTTTTTTTAAGACGAGTCTCACTTTGTTGCCCAGGCTGGAGCGCAGTGGCAGGATCTTGGTTTACTGCAACATCCGCCTCCCAGGTTCAAGCAATTCTCCTGTCCCAGCCTCCTGAGTAGCTGGGGCTACAGTCACATGCCACCATGCCCAGCTAATTTTTGTATTTTTAGTAGAGACGGGGTTTCACTATATTGGTCAGGCTGGTCTCGAATTCCTGATCTCAGGTAATCTGCCTCAGCCTCCCAAAGTGCTGGGATTATAGGCATGAGCCACCTTGCCCGGCCAAAATGAAACTTTTACATTGGGAAAATTCAAATGAGAGTGCAGGACAAGATAAGGATAAATCGTCTATAGAAATTCAAGCTGAGTACAGTAGCTCATACCTGTAACCCCAGCACTGTAGGAGGCCGAGGCAGGAGGACCACTTGAGCCCAGGAGTTCAAGACCAGCCTGGGCAACATAGGGAGACCCCCATCTCTACAAAAAAATTAAAAATTAGCTAGTTGTGGTGGCATATGCTTGTAGTCCTAGTTACTTGGGAGCCTGAGGTGGGAGGATCACTTGAGCCTGGGAGGCTGAGGGTGCAGTGAGCTATGATCACACCACTGCACTCCAGTCTGGGCAACAGAGCAAGACCTTGTCTCGAAAAAAAAAAAGAGAGAGAGAGAGAAAAGAAATTAATTCCCTCCATCCTAAGAGAGCCATGAATTCTGATAAGCAGTTATTACTTGGAAGAGAGGAAGAAAGCGAATGAAATGGGGGGGACGGGGTGGGGAGGAAAGGGAAAGGGGAGGGATGCGGAGGGGTGGGACGGCAATTCACAAAATGATAGACTCGATATTTCGCTAGAAGGACCTTCCCAAGGTAACTGCCGCACCTGTTCTTTCAAGCACGGCTTAGACACAGAGGAAATGTGGTATAATAATCCGAAAGAACAAATCAGCAAATCTTTTTGTATTAGAAGAAAAACAATAGACTAGCAAAACGAATTTTGACAACCTGTTAACAAGGTGTGAGTTCTAAACTCTGTTTCAGTAGGGAGCAAACATCCTCACTGTCAGAAGAGCATATAAGGGATATTTGGGTGTGGAAATGCTGATGTCAAGTTGATAGCAGGACAAATGAAATGGGGTGTGCAAAGGAGGGTATCAAAGTGCGGCAGGTCCAGGAGGCGCCTTTTCTGAAACTACACGCAGGGCCAGTGTTGACTTCCACTCTGGTCCTAAATTTTCAGATCAGTTTAAAGATAGAAATGGATATTTTCCTGTGTGAAAAAAGCAAATGGTATTATTCAATAAAATCTCAACGCTAAGGTGCAAATTACCTCCTCTACTCTAGGCTTTAACTCCATGACTGTGCAGTCAAAGTGGGATACACCCCTCACTTGGGACAAAAAAAGTCAATTCTGTGACATTCTGTGTTCCACAGAAAAGTCCTCATTGGGGTGATTCAAGAAAAGAACCCGGCTGGGCGCGGTGGCTCATGCCTGTAATCCCAGCACTTTGGGAGCCCAAGGTGAGTGGATCACGAGATCAGGATATCCAGACCATCCTGGCTAACATGGTGAAACCCCGTCTCTACTAAAAATACAAAAATTAGCTGGGCGTTGTGGCACGTGCCTGTAGTCCCAGCTACTCAGGAGGCTGAGGCAGGAGAATCATTTGAACCCGGGAGGCAGAGGTTGCAGTGAGCCAAGATTGTGCCACTGCGCTCCAGCCTGGGCGACAGAATGAGACTCTGTCTCAAAAAAAAAAAAAAAAAAGAAAGAAAAACCCAATTTTCTACTGGAAATGCTTTCCTCAAATTTAGGGCAGCAGATGTGTGTGGTCCTTATTTTTATGCTGCGTAAAGGATGCATTCAAGTAGAACAAGGAGCATGCCCATGTGCCCATCATCATTAATAGAAACACCTGCGTTTCTCTTAGCACTACTCTGAGAATTCATCACTAGAAAGCTCTTGGCTACCCATCTAGACGCATTCTTGGAAGTAGCCTGGGGTTCTCTGTTTAGGTCATAAAATAAAAATCTTGAGGAGATGAATTTCCATTTTTCTTGTGTTCAGAACAGTTTACTGTGGAGTTCCTCACTGAGGGCAGGAACAGAAGGTTTTTCTGAGAAAAGTCGTGGCAGCTGGGTAGTGTCTTAATGCCCTCAATGGCTCTTTATCATTCATACCTGGGAGGCCCACCTATTTCTGTTGCTATGAAGATTTGCAATGGGTTGAAGGAATGCACTGACTTTTGCTTTCATGCTGGAATTTGAAATAATAAAATGTATTCCAATCTGGGCCTTAGTTATCACACAGCTCTACATAAATCAAGCAAGAGGGCTGGTCAGGAAACTAGGCTCAGTCCTCCTATCTCCCTCCACTCATGTTCCCCCAGTTTGTTGGTTTCCAGTACCAAAATTCACAAGTTTCTTTTATGGAAACAATTTAGAAGACTGTAGCCTGTGCAACTGGCTTCCATCACTAGCAGCTTTGTGGCCCTCACCTAAACTCCTCTTTTCATCTAACCTTGGGCTCCTGAACACAACTTCATCATGACCTATGGCATATGACATGCATTGGAAGTGTAAATTGGATGAGAAAATGAGATAAATGGCCATTCTACATTATTTCTTATACGAAACTCTACAGCTCAAACCACCTTTGTTCTACAGCTATTCAACCAGTTATTGAGGGAACGTTTTCAATTATTGGAGGGCTGAGCCCGACGGGTTATATGACACCTTGGAGGAGCAGGAACTTCTATCCTTGTGCCTTCATCAACAAAAGAAAGAGAAAGGATAAAAGAAACACAGGCAATTGAAAGACATCTGAAAAATACTGGCAAGTAGAAAAGAAAAAAATTAAAATCACCTGCATTCTGTGATCCGCTGATAACCACTGTTCACACGTTCCCTGGAGTCACTACAGCCCTTTTTCTGTTTTGTCCCCACAGTTGAAATTATACCGGATATATGAATTTTCCTATTTTTCTTGTAATATGATAAGAAGAATATTTCCATTATTACCAGAGAAACTCTGTGGACAAGATTTTGTCCTAATTAGCTGTCCTGCCTTTGATCTCCTGTGATGGAATCATTCATCTAATTTGAAAAGCTTTTGTTTCAAAGTTTCATTACGTTCTGATTAAGGAGGGATTGGAAAGCGATGTTCTGGTGTTGCTGAGGTTTGTCGGGGTTTAAGTCCTGAGGGATCATCCACACACCCTCACGGTTCAAAGGAAGAAAAGCGAATGTTAACGGGGGAAGCATCCTCCCTTCAGATGGGAAAAAGTCAGCTCTAGACCCAGCTGGCAAATGCAGACACAGAGAGCAAAGGGATTACTGGGAAAATCAAATGAACGGGTGATTTGAAGGCCAGATTATACTTCTATTAAGTGCAATCAAGGCAAAGAATCTCTTGTGGGAGGCAAGCAGAGCCTGCAGGAAGTAAGTCCTCCATGGAGCTAATGGAATATGGACAGTGAAAGGTCTTCTGAAAGGAATTCAGGATAAGAAAAAAACACACGTTCTCTTTAAGACCAGACACGTGAATGCCAAGTTTAGATGCGCAGTTAACTAAAAACGGCTACGAATAGCGTAAATGGGTGCCTTATTTTAGTTATACTTGTATATGTCTTTATTCTGGTCAATCAAATTGCAGAGTTGGAAAGTGTTATGGGTTAAATTGTGTCCCCTGCAAATTCGTATGTTCAAGTCCTAGCCCCTCTTACCTCAGGATGTGGCCTTATCTGAAACTTAATTCGAAGATACAGTTGTTGGACATGTAATTAGTCAAGATGAACTCACGCCAGAGGAAAACTAATCCTACAGGACTTGTGACCTTTTAAGGAGAAATCTAGATGCAGACATACATACAGGGAGAATGCCACGTAAAAGCTGGAACAACACCGCCACAAGCCAGAGAACTAGAAGCTGGAAAGAGGCTGGAGCAGAGCCTTCCCTGGGGCATCAGAAGGAGCTTGTCCCTGCCCAAACATTGATTTCAGCCCTCGAGCCTCCAGAAAAAGAGAAAAATAAATTTTGTTGTTTAAGCCCTGGGTTTCCGCTACGTCACAGCAACTTCAGGAAAATATAGAAGGGGTCCTAGACACTATTTGGTCTAACTTCCTCCATAACATAGATTTCTTTCCCAACGTGGATATATATATATATATATATATATATATATATATATATACATGCTCCCTTTGTGTCCAGCATGGGTGGGTTCTTGGTCTCACTAACTTCAAGAATGAAGCCACGGACCCTCACGGTGAGCATTACAGTTCTTAAAGGTGGTATATCCAAAGTTCGTTCCTTTTGAGGTTCGGATATATCAGGAGTTTCATTCGTTAATTGGTGGTTGGGGGGGTTCAGTGGTCCCGCTTGCTCACGAGTAGAGCTACAGACCTTCCAGATGAAAGTTACAGCTCTTAAGTATAAGAGTCTGAAGTTGTTCCTTCTTCCCAGTAGGTTCAGTGGTTTTACTAACTTCAAGAGTGAAACTACAAGACCTTTCCCAAAAATACTACAGCTCAAAAAAAGCAGTACGTACCCCCCACAACCAGCAGCAACAAAACTTACCAAAAACAATTAATAAACAAACCTGTCACACGGTAGAAGAGAACCCAAAAGAGTTACCACTGTGGCATGGGGCAGCCTACTTTTATTTTTTTATTTGGCCCCCCCCCCCCCACATCCTGCTGATTGGTCCATTTTACAGAAAACCAATTGGTCTGCTTTACAGAGAGCTGATTGGTCCGTTTTGACAGGGTGCTGATTGGTGCATTTACAATCCCTGAGCTAGACACAAAAGTTCTCCACCTCCCCACTGGATTAGCTAGATACAGAGTGTCCATTGGTGCATTCACAAACCCTGAGCTAGACACAGAGTGCTGATTGGTGTGTTTACAAACCTTGAGCTAGATACAGAGTGCTGATTGGTGTATTTACAATCCCTTAGCTAGACATAAAGATTCTCCAAGTCCCCACCAGACTCAGGAGCCCAGCTGGCTTCACCCAGTTGCTACCCCAGTGGGGCTGCAGGTGGAGCTGTCTGCCAGTCCTGGCCGTGCACCCACACTCCTCACCGCTTGGGCAGTCGATGGGACTGGGAGCCGTGGAGCGGGGACGGCACACGTCTGAGAGGCTAGGGCCGCGCAGGAGCCCACCGCGGGCGGGCGGGAGGGAGACTCAGGCATGGCAGGTTGCAGCTCCCGAGTTCTGCCCCGTGGGGAGGCAGCTAAGGCCCAGCGAGAAATCGAGCACAGCAACTGCTGGCCCAGGTGCTAAGCTCCTCACTGCCTGGGGCCAGCGGGGCTGGCCGGCCGCTCCGACTGCGGGGCCTAGCCAAGCCGACGCCCATCCAGAACTTGCGCTGGCCTGCAAGCACCGCGCGCAGCCCCGGTTCCCGCCCGCGCCTCTCCCTCCACATCTCACCACAAGCTGAGGGAGCCGGCTCCGGCCTTGGCTAGCCCGGAAAGGGGCTCCCACAGTGCAGCGGTGGGCTGAAGGGCTCCTCAAGCGCGGCCAGAGTGGGCACCAAAGCGAGGAGGCGCCGAGAGCGAGCCAGGGCTGCCAGCCCGCTGTCACCTCTCACCTTCAGCAGTCTCCGTGGAACACGTCCAGTGATGGGACCTCACTGTTCTCGGGGCAACACCTTCCGTTACTTGAATAGCTCCAATTATTACACTTCATGTAGTACCAAGCTTTTGTAATACAGTTATTAGTAAAACCGACTAACGTTAAACTTCACCATTTTTTTTCTTTAAAGTTCTATTTTGCATTCAATAAAAGGGTGCTGTGTGGAAAAGCATGCATGCATCTGCCTCTTGGCCCATAATCAAGGCACCATCATTCACCTGGGGCAGCAAAAGTATGAGGCACTTGGATGGAAATAAACAGCCTCTGAGTTTTGACCTTGCTGATGGTGGTGAGCGCACACTTCACCCTCGCTTCTGTGGTTAGCAGGGCCTTCTGCCCAACGGTGTCCACCAAGAACAAATCAATGCTAACAGGCTGGCCGACTGAGTCATAAGAAGCACAATTCATGAGTGAGAAGCACAGCATCTTCCCTTCCTGCCACAAAAGGGCAGGGAAAGAAGTGGAGCCGTGAGTCATACAGCAGCGCTGGTCATGGGAAGATCCCACCAGAGTTGTCAAGCGGCCAGGAGAGACATCTCCTTTGATATGTTCCGTTACATTCCTTTTTCTCCAACCAGCCATATTTGAGGAGAGATTAACAGCTAGACTCCCTTCAGTCCAATTCAACAAGGATTTGTTGTGTATACGCTGACCATTTTCCCCGAGGGGAATGACTGCAGTGATGAAGCTGATTAATTCTTATGAGCCAGCTGGGAGGAGGTGCTTGGGGGCTAATGACTCATGATCAGAGATCAATGCTTTGGGGAGAGGTGGCAAACAGACCTCATTTCCAGAATGCCTGGCTCCGGATGTGGATGAGAAATTCAGTCTCTGCTCTGTAACGTGGCCTCCTTCCAATATTTAGTGACGAGATCAGGCCACTTCATTGGAGGAAGCAGATTCTGTGTTTCCACCCCCCGGGGCTGTTAATATTCTGAGACCCTCTCTGCTGGGTGCATCTAGACTTCTTGTCTCACACATTCACATTTAGTTAAACCCAATAAATGTTTACCAAGTGCTGTTTCCTCTGGACAGCCCCATGCTGTAGAAGTTACAAAAGTAAGACCCAATGCACTAAAGGAGCTTGGGGAGAACACAAGACAATTACGCTCTCCTGGCTTGCTAGCAGCAGCTCAGAGGCAATGCTGCTGCTTTTCCCCATGGGAATCAGTATCCTAGGCTCACATCCTGGCACTGGTAAGTGCTTGCTGTGGAGCACGAGACAAACTTCTAAGATGGACTTCATAAAACTTGACAAACTGATTTAGAAATTCATAGCAAAAGCAAAATATTGGGATGAGCAGAAACAAATTTACTCTTTGTAGTTTTGTTTTGTTTTTTGAGACAGGGTCTTGCGATGTTGCTCAGAACTGCTGGGCTCAAGCGATTCTCCCATCTCAGCCTCCTGAATAGCTGGGACTACAGGAGCATGCCACCAAGCCCAGGTAACATCGTTTTAAAGGAGACAGTCAGGTTAGGGGTCTCTTACTGCAAGATATCAGATTAATAGCTGCATGAAGCTCCTGTGATTAACACTGGGGAGTCATCACAGAACCGAACGAGTAGAACAATGACACAGAAGAGAAAGCCAGAAAACTCACACCAACCTGAAAACTTGGTAAGTGACAGGTGATGTTACAGACCAAGAAGTACTGGAGATTCCAAAAATAGCTGATGCTATTGATTATTTCCATAAAAATTAATTTCTTACTTCAAAGTTATGAGTCATTATTAGGGCTGTTCACCCAATGCACCAACTGTATCTGCCTTCTGGGCCCAGGATGGGGTTGTACCTCTTTGTCCCCTCTGAAGCTAGACCTGGTCCCTGTGACTTGCTTTGGCTGCTGAAACTGATCAGAAGAAATGTGTGTTACCTTCAAGCAGAACCAAAGCGCCATGTATATGACTCTCCACACCCCCTCCTTGCTGCAGGCATTTCAGATGCCCCTGTCTAGAAAAGCATCCTTCAACCTGCATCCCTCAGGGACTCTGATGAGCAGAGACGCCTGCAAACCCACAGTGGACATGCAGTTTGTATAAATGAGACACAACTTGGGGTTAAACCTCTGCGATTTGGGGTTGTTTCTTTGGTATAACCTAGTCTGTCCTACCTAATACAAAATAAACAACTCCAGGTGATTAAAGACCTGCATATAGAAATGTGTAAAATTTGAGGAAATGATATAGGCAAATTTGATAACCTCAGAGTATAGCAGGATTTCTTTTAAAGTTTTTAAACTTATAAACCATGAAGGAAAAGATGAATGCATTTGACTGCATCAAATTTGAAGTCTTCATTTCACCAATAAACACTACAAATTGAAAAGACAAGCCACAAGCTGGAAATGATATTTGCAGTGTGTCTAACTGACAAAAGATGAGCAAACAGCTCACACAATAATACCCTGAAGACCAATGAGGAAAAGACAAACAAGCCAAAAGAAAAATGAGCAAATTACATGAAAAAACAAGAAACATATGGAAAAACTGCTGAAATCAGTTAATAATTGGGGAAATGCAAATTAAAGCAATTTAAACCATTCCACACCCATCAGTTTGGTAAAAAATTAAAATTTGATAATACCCAGGATTGTCAAGAACATAAAGAAACAGAAACTGGTTTTGGGTGTTTGTTTGAGACAGGATCTCGCTCTGTCATCAAGGCTGATGATCTCGGCTCACTGCAGCCTTAACATCCCAGGCTCAGGCCATCCTCACGCCTCAGGCCCCTGAGTAGCTGGGACTACAGGTGTTAGCCACCTCACCAGGCTAATTTTTGTATTTTTTGTAGAGCCAGAATTTTGGCATGTTTCCCA